>NC_000017.11:5794141-5945656 GCF_000001405.40 Homo sapiens
TGGCCTGAGATCCCAGTCTCTTGGGACCTTACAGTTTCTATGATGTGGTCACCGTTTGGTCCAGCTGCCCAGACTTGCTAAACATCCCTTGGGCTGGTCCTCCAGGCCCTGAGATACCCTCCAAAGGATTAGGGGTGCCCTCTTCTCCCACAGCAGCTTGGAAAGTACCATAAATTCACTTGTTCTCTTAATTTGTGAAACCTCCTGGACTTGTCTATGAAGAGCTCCTCAGAAACACCCTCTTCATTACAATGTTAAATTAAAATTTAGTAGACGAGGCACATAGCAGAATAAACTTTCAATTAAAATATACACACTGCGATGGTGAAGGGAGACTGGAGAGAACTTGCCGGCATCTTTGCCGTGAATGTGCTCGAGATTTAATTTTACTATGACATCTCCTTGGAATTACACAGCTAATTGATCACATTGTGTCTGTCTGTTATTGAAACTTTCAATAAAACTGAGATTAATGGAAGGTGTAATCCTCCCGGGCAGAACAAATATTCCCATTGCTCATGTCAGGTACAGAAATGGAAATGCTCTGCTAACAGCTTTTTGCATTCAATCTGCGCACATGAAGTTAATCATGAAAAATGCAGTGATTCTTTAATGGCTTGAATGAAATTTTTTCTGCCTGCCCCATTTCTCACCCAAAATAGCTGCCCTTGTCAGAGACTCGAGTGAAGTGGCTGAGAGGCAGAGCCAGGTTCCAGGGGCTGGGGCTCAGGACGGGCTGGTGATATGGCTGGTGCCTATATCTGAGGACAGGGTCCACCACCCTTGAGAATCAGTGTGCCTGTCAGATGGCATAGAACCGGGAAGGAACGAAACCCAGCTACTACAGGGGCCAAGGGCACCCCCCATCAAATTGTAATTTTGGCAAGAGTTTCTGTGGTAAGCCATGGGGAAAAGGGCTTGTCTCTGAGACTCCCATGTGGGGAGTAACAGGTGCTGAATCTAGAAGCCACCAAAAAAGAGAAACCTCCTAGTTCTAGCTCAGGTGGGAGGCAGGGTAGTATAGCAGTTAAGAGCATCCCAGCTCTACTATTAACCAGTGACCTTGGACAAGTTACTTAAATTTGCCTTGCTTGTTTCCCCTCCTGTAGATTAAAATGATGTCTTAAAGTGTTGTGATTTATGTTGCTGACATATGCAAAACACCCAGAATGGGGCCCAGCCCATGCCGTGCAAGCGTTGGCTATTATCATTACTATGCTCTCAGCTGAAGCTTTGTCTTCTCCACCAGCATCTCCTGTTCAACGGTATTTAAGGACAGGCTTTGGAGTCAGTTCCTAGGGCCTTGATTACTAGATCTTCCCGGATTCCTATATCTCCAAGCTGCAGTTTTCTTTACTGTAACTTAGAGATGCTATTACTTGCCTCCTAGGGTTGTTGTAAAGATGAAATATGTGTAGAGTCCTCAGCATGCAGAAAACACTTAATAAGTAGCTATTACAATCCCGACCATTGTTTCCATCCAGGCCCTGCAGAACCGATCCAACTCCCAGTATGAGCATGGGAAAACCCTGCCTCAGGTTTAGTTGTGATTGATCTTCCAGTAGCTTCTATCCATTTGAGTTCCTTGAACTAGGTCTGGATAACTGGGCCACGCTGAAGTCAGTTCCCTCTAACCCATGACAGCCCTTCTGATTCTTGAAATTGGTCCTCCTGTTTCCCCAAATCTTCCCTTTCACAGGAGGAGCACTCGTAGCTCCAACGAATGTCCTTCCAACACAGTGGATTCTGGTTGTTCATTTACCTGAGGCTACCCTTCTTTGATCAAGCCTGGTTGACCACATATGTCCCTTTGAGAGTGTGGGGGACTCAGTACCTCGGATGAGTCTGTAGCAGTGTAAAGGAGAGTGATGTGGCCATCACCCATATTCTGGACCCCATGCTTCTATTGATGTGGTCCAGGTAGCATTTATTTCTTGGTAACCATATCACACTACTAATTTCATGAAATTAGAGTTCACTATTATTTTCTAAATTATTTTCTATGCCTGTTGATGCAGAATCATGTTCTTTGCATCCCGTGCCAACACAGCCAGATTTCTGCACTCAAGGATAGGTCTTTACTTTGCTCTTCATAGACTTCCTTTTTTTTTTTTTTTTTTTTTTTTTTTGAGACTGGGTCTTGCTCTGTCGCCCAAGCTGGAGTGCAGTGTTGCCATCTCAGCTCACTGCAACCTCTGTCTCCCGGGTTCAAGTGCATCAGCCTCCCAAATATCTGAGACTACAGGCGCCCACCACCATGCCCAGCTAATTTTTGTATTTTTAGTAGAGATGGAGTTTCACTATGTTGGCCAGGTTGGTCTTGAACTTCTGACTTCAGGTTATCCACCTGCCTTGGCCTCCCAAAGTGCTGAGATTATAGGCGTGAGCCACTGTGCCTGGCCAACTTCCTTACATTCTCACCTGGTGTTATTACTTGGGCTCTGGGTTCTGACATCTGTCATGTGAACTTCATGTTTTTCAAATTTTCAACAAGCAAGACATTAAACCTCTTTCTATACAGATGAGAAAAACAAGACCTACATTTGAAGGCGGGTGCTTGCTTAGGGGTACACAGCAAGGTGGCCAGAGAATCAGGGTAGAAAACCCAGTTTTTCTGAATGTAAGTTCAGGAATCAGGGAAGTTCAGAGTCAGGTGGGGAGGGAGGAACTGTAGAGGGCACCCAAATAGCTCTCCCAAGTCCTCAAGCGTGGGAGCACATCCTCTGCCATATTTCTTTTTCTTTTCTTTTTTTTTTTTTTTGAGACAGTCTTGCTCTGTCACCCAGGCTGTCACCCAGTTATAGCTCACTGTAACCACAAACTGCTAGGCTCGAGTGATCCACCCACCTCAGCCTCCCGAGTAGCTGGGATTATAGGTGTGCATCACCATACCTGGCTAATTTTAAAATTTTGTGCAGAGATGGGGCCTCGCTATAACGCCCAGGCTGGTCTCGAATTCCTAGGCTCAAACAATCCTCCTGCCTTGGCCTCCCAAAGTGCTGGGATTACAGGTGTGAGCCACCATGCCTGACTGCTCTGCCATGTTTCTGACGGGAGGCTGGCTGTCCACTCCCTTTGGGAATGAGCCCAATGAGGGAGGGGAAGCGCATTGTCCCTTGTCCTGCACCTCCCCATTCCAAAAGAGAACGTCTTTAATTGTTAAAATGTTATTCCTTAAATTGGGCTGAAATGAGCTTTGTATGAGCTCTGTGGGAAATTAGGGTGTTTCCAAAAGTTTCAGTGGTTCTGTTATTGTAAGCGATAGAGACCCACTTAAGCTAACTCAAGCACAGGGTTTTCCATGAGGGTTTAAGAGGAATCCCTGTTCCTTCCCACGCTTGCTCCCACTCTCTCAGCGGGTCTGCTCTGTGCTTCTGTCCTGTTCTCTTTCTTGCAGACTTATTCCACCTTGTGCTCACTCCTGTCTCCTGTACTCCTCTATTCAGCCCCAGCACGACGGTTCCTTCCAGCTGCAGCCTCCACCACTGCGTGGCAACGTTCCTCTGGGTCTCTTAGTTCACATTCTTGCGATGAAATCTAATTAGCAAGTGTCTTAGCCCAGGTTCTCTAGAAAACAGAACTGGAGAAAAAGCTTACATGTTATTGGGAAGTGTAGTTTCAGGGAGGCAGGGGTGAGAGAAAGGGGGAGTGAGGCGGAAACAGGGGAGAGCAAATGCAGGAGAGTGTGTCGCTAAGCTGGCTGCAGCTGCCTAACAGCTGATTTCTCGGCGTTGCAGGACATCTTCAGAGAGGCCACGTGAAACTGCAGCATCTCTGGTCTGTCCAGGCTAATGATTCTCAGTCAGGGGTGATTTTGCTCCTCAGGGAACACTGAACAACATCTAGAGACATTTTTTGATGGCCATGTCCAGGAGGATGACAATGGCATTTGGTGATATTGTGGGCAGAGGCCAGAGATGCTACTAAACATCCTCCAAGGCACAGCATCTCCTGCTCTGAACAAAGAATCATCTGGTTCACGATGTCAGCAGTGCTGAGACTGAGAAGCACTGATCTAGGCTGGACTCTTAGGGGAGGAAGGGTAAGAATTTATCTGTGGGCTCCCATATCCTTTTGGTTAGAATTTGCTTCAAGGGATGCTAATTCCTCACATTTCTGGGTTGTTTGTAATGTGAGCTTCAATTGGGTCCCCTGGTGTCTCTTGTCTCTGCAGCAACAAGGACGTCCTGAGGTGGGAGGCAAGAGGCTTGGAGCAGGCATGGGGTGAGGTGGCGATGAGGGTTTTGAGCAAGTCCCCCAGGCTGCTGCAGGGGTAGAGTCCACAGCAACCTGACTCTGACTGTGACTTGACTGTAAGACCACAGGAATGGGACAAGCCACGGCTCCAGCCATTCCAGATAGAAATCAAATGTGCAGATCTGGGGTAGCTCATACACTGAGTGCTATATAGCCTCATCTTTTTGAGCCAAGGTCTCCAAGGCATGGTTTTCTGGCCCTCCTAGGGACTGTCTTCTATTGCGCCGGGTGCCCACCACAGGCCAGTTAGCCAGGGCTACATGTGGGCTAAGGTGGGGAGGGTCGTCGGGTAGAAAACATAGCTGCTTATTCAGCAGAAACTCTGAGTAGAAAAAATCTAATTAGAGTGAGAATGAGTGGGACTGGCAGTGATTAACATCTCAGACACACCGCACTTGGAAAATCTACCTGAAGTCCTTTGTGGAATGAGGTGGGTATGAGCAGTTGTGTGCTAGTAAATGTTAACAACTGGCTCTTTTGGAGGTAGGTCAGGAGATGCCTGGCTTTGTATGTTCATCACTTTTTGTGGTATAAATGCTCCTATTGTGGCCAATTTCAAGCTACCAATGGTTTAACAACCAGCTTGGAACTTTTCTGAAAATTCAACAATTGGCTCTTGAGAGCCAATATAAGCTGGCTGTATAGTAAGCCTGGTATAAGTAAATAAGTTAATTACAAATGAACAGCTTAGCATGATGGAAAAATAGTTGTGAAATATCGCAGACCTTTCTCTCCTCCAGCATGGCCTTCTCTCCAATTTTAAGCAGTCTGATCATTCTGTACTGATTCCTTCAGAGAAAAGGGGTATGTCAGAAAGGAAAGGGTTGTGAATTCTTTTCCTGAATTTTATGTTCTAAAATAACAGTATTAGACAGAACAAAAAGCTCCTTTGAACAGTCAGACAAAAATATTTAAGACCGGGAGACTGAGAAGAGTAACCACCATCTGGTCTCTGGAAGAGCAAAGATTCCAAACGCTAAGGGAAGAAAAGAACACAGGAGTGGAGGAGAAGCTGAGAGTATAGTTCCCTGTGTGTCCCGGGGGGAGCAATCTGGTCCCTACCTCCTGGGCAGAGCCCTGGGGAGGCAGCATGACCCCAAGAGAAGTTTGTGGGATCTGGGAACAGAGAGGACCTGTGCCCCACTCTCTGAGGGGGACCCCAGGGAAGCTTAGAGAAAGAAGTTATCGACAAGGTGGGACCATATGGTCTATCTGTAAAAATCCTGTTCCCTGTTGCGGTGCAGGAGCAGCTGAATGATTGCTGGGTTTTCAGACAAGCCGCAGAAATACAGGCCGGAGCTTGCAGACCTGAAAGAGCCAGATGAGAGACCTGCGAGGGGCAGAGAGGATGATGGGCATCTCAGAAGATGCTCGTGCGGATGGACGACATTGAACACCCAATTGACTTCGAGCTATATAGGAATGTGGCCACAACCCCAGGGAAAGGAGGGGGTCCCCTGAGATTGGTTTATGCACCGTAGCAGAAGCTTGAAATAAAGTTACAAAGAATTTTTTTGTTCACAGTGAAATTTGTGGACCATGATTGAAATTCAAGCCCTTTGCTTTAGACTAGGGATCAGTAAAGTTTTTCTGTAAAGGATCAGAGTAAATATTTTAGGCTTTGAGGGTCATATATGACCTTCTTCCTCTTTTTTTCCCCCTCTCCTTCCTCCTTCTCCTCCACCTTCTTCCTTTTGTTGCAACCATTTAAAAATGTAAAAACCATTCTTAGCTGGAAAAAGTCCCCTCAAAGTTTGTCCTCCTCCCGCTGCTCCCAGTCCACAGAGCTGCTGTCTGAATGAGGTTTTCCACCGGCAACACTACTAGATTTTAGAAAGCCAGGAAGATTCTCCTGCAACGAGATTCAGTTAGTACAAAATGTATTCGCTGACCAGGAGGATGACACTCTTCTCTGGCCACAGGCCACATGATGAAGCCTGCATCTGGCTGTGGAAGGAATCTTCAGCATGGCCGAAGTCTGCTGTTTCTTCCATCTTTGATCAAAACGGGGGCACATTTCCCTCACCCCCAGGGGACCAAATCCTCTCCCCAGGCGCACTTGCTCCACTCAATGCCTTCTCTCTCCCCGTCCCTGCCTTTGGAAGATCATCTTCCGGGACCCAGCAGCCCTGAGAATTCACGACAGGGTGTGGCTAGGGCTGGATGAAGGGTTACTTACAGTTTCTCATAAATGGACTTCTAGGCGGCTGGTTTCAGAAGCCCTCAGTGGGAAAAACCAGTCGGCCCAGTGATTTTTTATTCATTTTCCTTAGTTTCTGATTTAATTTTGAAAGACAACCCATGGAC
This sequence comes from Homo sapiens, assembly GCF_000001405.40. NCBI lineage: Eukaryota > Metazoa > Chordata > Mammalia > Primates > Hominidae > Homo > Homo sapiens. The sequence goes on from NC_000017.11 coordinate 5,800,706, forward strand.
CCAGATGGAGAGATAGACCACACAGTGGAGGAGCTGTCTGGGTTGCCGCGTCATTGTCATGGTGATGTGAGCCACCGCTGTCTCCAGCACACCCTCAGAGCACTCCCTGGGAGAAGGTGCCAGAGCAGGATATAAAACCGACTTCTGAGAGGGAGGCGGGGCTGGCCAGGCTGCTCTGTAGTGCGGACTCAGAGGCAGGTCCAGTGACAGGCGGGTCTGTTCTGCACATGAACAACTGAGGAGCTGAGAACATCTGACCTGGACTGGGCCTCCTGAGTCTGTGGTAAGATTCTGGGGCTGAGGATGCCCAGATTGCTGCTTCTGAGGACTGGGCAGCTGCATCATGCTGCAGGCTGAGCCCTGACCCTGGCCTCAATGAGGACCTTGGTCCTGGCTATCTTTTAAAAAAATTTTTTTAAATTAATTATTATTATTATTATTATTATTATTATTATTTGAGAGATGGAGTCTCGCTCTGTCACCCAGGCTGGAGTGTAGCAGCGCGATCTTGGCTCACTGCAACCTCCACCTCCCAGGTTCAAGCCATTCTCCTGCCTCAGCCTCCTGAGTTAGCTGGGATTACAGGCACCTGCCACCATGCCTGGCTAATTTTTGTATTTTTAGTAGAGATGGGGGTTTCATCATTGCCCAGGGTAGTCTCGAACTCCCGACCTCAGGTGATCCACCTGCCTCAGCCTCCCAAAGTGCTGGGATTACAAGCCTGAGCCACTGCGCCTGGCCCGGTCCTGATTATCAGAGGAGCCCCAGTCTATCCAGACATCCCCGAGATATCCTCTGACCCCTAGTGACCCCTGCAGGTTAGGTCACAAACGTGTGAGAGCTCAGATGACTGTATGGGGCCAAGTTATCTGCTTTGAACAGAACTCAGAGCTGTTTCCTTCATTTTGAGAAAAGGGACAGGTTGGGAGCATTGTCTTTATATGCAAAAGACAATGTATTGGAAGGAAGCTAAGAATTTTCTTCTCAAATTGGGAGGACGGCAGTCCTGGCATCTTAATTTTATTTTTAGGATATTTTCTGCAAAAGAGGGGAGCGGGGAGTGAGGGGGAAAGCCCAATTCGTGCCCTCTTCAATTTTGAAACCATTAAACCTCAGGCAACTTGAGTGATAATCAGTCAATCCACAAGCAGCCTGTCAACTCATCAGTGCTTATGTACTTAACACCAGTGGGTTGGAGCGCGATTCCAGCTCTTCAGGAGGAACATGGATGGCCAAGTTGGGGCCCTGCTTTGGGGGAGTTTCAGTGAAGTTGGGCAGTGCAGTGCAGGATGTGGACATGCTTACAAAAGTCTGTAACCATAGGCTGGGCATTTCAGGGGGTGATCCAAGTGCTAGACTGGAATGGTCAGTGAAGGCTGCAGGGCGTGACTGCTGAGCTAACCTTGCCTCAGGTGGATAAACACATTGGACACTGGTAAGCCCTATTTGTCCACAGCTGCTGTGGATGCTCCGGGCTCGTGGACTCTGGAGCTTGCTAGCAAAGGCCTTGGGGACACTTACACCGAGCTGCTTGTCCTCACCACACTCTGGTGACCCAGCTTTCTAGCCCTCCCACCGCGAGCTGCCTTGCAAGGGTTCATGTGCCTTTGTAAATGCATCCTTTTTTGGAGTGAACCCCCAACCTCAGACTCCTGTGTTGATGATATCCTCCCCCCAAGGGATCTTTCTAAAATAGATTTGACCATGTCGTTCTACTGCTTAAAAGCCTTCAATGAATCCCAGTTGGGTTTAGTGTAAATCAGATCTCTTTATCTTTGTTCTTCCTGCCAAGCTGCCCTCCACCCCAGCATGGGCATGCACGCATACACACACACACACACACACACACACACACACACACACACACACACTCCAAATGCTTTAGCAAATTCTCTTGCATACACACACACACACACACACACACACACACACTCCAAATGCTTTAGCAGACAGAGTCTCTTGCATTTCTCCTTACCTTTATGTGTTCCCTCCACTTGGAGCACCCTGGCATATCCTTCCCTTGGCCTGTCTGGTCAACCCCTGTCCCTCTGATCAGCAGTGATGGTCTTCTCCAGGCCACACTCCTCCCACACTTACCTCTCATCATCTGGCAAACATCCACTCCTCTCTCAGGCTCCAAATCAAATGCCACTTTCTCTGTGACTCTGCCACGTTGCCCTAGGTCTTTTTTTGATGTCCCTCTAAATTCTGGATACAACTCCCAAATAGAAACTTTTAAACAATTAAACATTAAATTGACTGATTTTTCCCATTGTTACCAGAAAAGTTCACATACCCTTTGACCCAGCATCCCCTTTTGGGTACTCTATTCTGTAAAAGTAAAAATGCCAGTACTTAAGGACAGTAGAACAAGAACTTTTTTTTCCTCCAAAAAAAGTTGGCACAGTATTGCCAACTTTGAAGTGGCACAGTATTGGAATGTACAAAATAAGAGTGCAGTTGACTAAATTATGACACATCCATGGTATGGAATACTACGCAGCTGTTAAAAAGAATGAGTTAGATTTCTATGAAAGGATTGTAGCATATTGTTAAGTATAACAGTTTGCTAAGTAAGGTGAGTGGTATAATCATATATTTGTAAAAAGCAAAACAAAATAAAGCCAAAACTCGAACCTATCTTTGTGTGTTTGCCTATGAACAGAGAAAGGGAAGTGAGGATGCACATCAGACTTAGCATTGGCAACCTTGGGGGATGAGTTGTAAAACTGATAGGAAAGAATGATTCTTTCTTTATATAACTCTGTATTCTTTGACTGTGCCCTATTTGGTGCTCATTCAGCTTCTCATACCTGGAGGTTTACATCTTTTGCCAAATTTGGCAAGTTTTCAGCCATTTTAAAAGTTATTTTTCAGCCTGTCCTTTTTCGCCTATTCTTCTGGGACTCTGATGACATGCATGTTGGTTCTTTTGTTATAGTTCCACAGGCCCCTGAAGTTCTGTTAATTTTTTTTTTTTTCAGTCTATCTCCGTTATTTAGATTGGGTAATTTATATTGTTCTGTATTCACGTCCTGATGATTTCCTCTATCTCCTTCATTCTGTTATTGATTCCGTCCATTGAGTCTTTTATTTTGATTACTCTATTTTCAATTCTAAACTTTCCATTTGGTTCTTACTTATATCTTCTATATCTTTTTTGAGACTTTCTATTTCTTTGCTGAGACTTTCTATTTTTTTCATTTGTTTCCATTGTGTGTGTATTTTAAAAAGCTTTATTTTTGAGATATAGTTCATGTATCATACAATTTGCCCATTTAAAAGTGTATGAGTCAATGGTTCTTAGTAGGTTCACCGAGCTTTGCAACTGTCACAACAATTTTAGAATATTCTCATCACGCAAAAAAGAAACTCCCATAACCATCAGCAGTCCCTCCCCAATTCTCTTCTCCCCGTCTCACCTGTCCTCTTCGCAACTCCAGGCAATCACTTACCTAATTTCTGTCTCTATGTATCTGCCTATTCTATTTCCAGTGTGTTTGTAATTGTTCACTGAAGTATTGTTATGATGACTGATTTGAAATATTGGTCAGCTAGTTCCAGCATATCTGTTATATCAGTGTTGCCATCTGTATTTGTTTCCTAAGGCTGTTGTTGCAAAGTATCACAAACTGGGTAGCTAAACACGACAGGAATTCTCTCATGGTTCTGGAGGCTAGAAGTCTGAGATCAGGGTATTGGCAAGGTTGGGTCCTTCTGAGGGCTCTGAGGGAGCCTCTGTTCTAGGCGTCTCTGCTAGCTTCTGGTGACAGCTGGCAACCCTTGGCATTCCTTGGTTTGTACATGCACCGTTCCAACCTCTGCCTTTGTCTCCACACGACATTCTGTGTATCTGCCTGTCTCTGTGTCTGTTTTTATAAAGAAAATGTCATATTGGATTAAGGACCCACGCTACTCCACTATGACCTCATCTTGACTAATTACTTCTTCAAAGGCTTTATTTCTAAATAAGGTCACATTCTGTGGTACTGGAGGTTAGGACTTCAACAGATTTTTTGGGAGGAACACAATTCAATCCATAATGCTGATTATCGTTTTGGGTTTTTTTTTTTTTCATTCAGTTTGAGACCTTCCTATTTCTTAATAGATCGAGCAATTTTGATTGAAGCTTGGACTATTTGAGTGTTATGTTATGAGACTGTCTTGGTTTGTTCCATGCTGCTATAATAGAATACTACAGAATGGGTAATTTATAACGAATAGAAATTTATTTTCTCACATTTCAGGCTGAGAAGTCCAAGATTGAGGGGCTGGCATCTGCTGAGGGCCTTCTTGCTGTGTCATTCCATGGTGGAAGGCAGAAGGCAGAGAGAGAGAGAGGGAGAGAGACTCCTCTTTTTAAAAGGAACTTACTCCTGTAATGATGGCATTAATCCATTCACTCTACCCTCATGGCCTAACCACATCTCATGAGCCCCCACCTCCCATCATTGTTGAACTGGGGATTAAGTTCCCAACACATGCTTTTGGGAGGACATACTGAAACCATAGCTGAGACTCCAGATCTTATCTAAATCTTTGATTTTATCTGGATCTCTCCAATACCATTCCAGCAGTGGAGGGAGACCCTGCCTTGTTACTGCTAGGTGGGGGTTGAATTTCAGGTTTCATACTTGGCTTCCATTGACACCAGAGTTGGTAGAACTCTTTATTACTTGGGGGATAGGGTAGGATTTCTGGTTTCCCACTAGGACTCCACTGATATCTCCCTGGCTCTGTGGGTGTGTGTCGGGGGGTGGGAGGAGGTAGAAGTGCCTCTTTAGTGATCACCAGGTAGCTTCCAGTGACACCACGGGGGTGTTTGTCCTCGTTACTTTTGAGTGGTGGTGAAAGTCCTGATCTTCCCCTCAGCCTCCTCTGACTCCAGCTTCTTGGGGAGGAAGTCTAGGCTTACCATTTGGCCTTTGCTGATGTACATGGGTGGAGGGCACAGTATTTTTATGTGGTGTTTTGCTGGAGTAAAGCACTTGTTATCTTTCTTGGTAGGTTGCCTCTTTCCTGGTCCTTTGGCTTGAGACAGTAGGCTTTGTTCAGGCTTTTATTTATTTATTTAGTCTTCACCATTGGTGTTTACGTGGCTGGCTTCTTCAGCTCTAAGTCTGGGACACATGAGGCAGAACTGTAGCTCAGGAAACTCACCATCATGTTGTTCCTTGGGTCTGAAACTCCCAAGTCAGTTAACCTTCTTCTCTCCACCTTTCAGAGTCTTCTTATATCTATTTATGCCTGTATGCTCAGGGATTTTCGTTGTGCCTCACAGGAGGAATAGGCAAAAGCATGTCTACCCTCATTGTCCTAGAAGCAGTCCATCAGTAGAATTTTTTGTAACCTACGATTATAGTAAATTATGTTAATATTTTTGCTGGTGTTGGATAACCCTTGTATTGTTAGAATAAATCCTAGTTGTACATGCTGAAGGTTTCTTTTAATGCACTGCTAAATTTAATGTGCTAATATCTTATTTAGAATTGCTGCATCTGTATTCATAAGTGAACTGGTTTATAAATTCTTGGTGTGTGTGTGCCTGCAGGTATGCATGCTGTGTTTGCATGCTGTCATTTTCAGGATTTTGCTTATCTCCTAGAATAATTTGAGACTCTTTCCATGTTTCCCTGTCCTGTGGAACAGTTTAAATTACACTGGGTACATTCAGTCCTTGAATGTTTAATAGACATTCCCCATAAAGCCTTTGACTGTGCCACTATTTTTTTGTGGTGTTTTTTGGGCAATTCGATCAGTTTCTTCGGTGCTTCCCCAATCTTCTCAGACTCTTGCTTCATGCCAAGTCAAGTTCGAAATTTTTCTTTTCATTTTTTTTCTTTTTTTTTTTTTTGTGAGCATGGCCCAACGATGACCAGCTGGTACAAGTGCACTGGCTGGTTCTTCTTCTCTCTTTTTTTTAATTATACTTTAAGTTTTAGGGTATCGCAAGCACGAAATTTTTATTTTCCAGGAAAATCATTATTTCAAATTTATTGGCAATATTGTATCTAGTATTCTCTGGTAAACTTAAATCTCCTTTATAATCTCTATTCACTTTTAAAAAATATGAGGTATTTGTGTTTCCTTTCTTTTATCCTTTACATGCCAATTTTTGGTACATTTTACCAGAATTTCCAGATAACCAGGTTTTTAGTTTGTTGAGCTTCATAGATATTGTGTTTCTTTTTAATTCATTCTTTCTTGCTTTCAACTACAAAGATTAAATATTTCATCTACCTTAAAAAATCTCATGGTTTGTCATCTAACTTATTGAATTGAAAGCTTGGTTGATTTGTTTTCATTCTTTTTGTTTGAGAATAAAAGTATTTTGGGTGATCACTTTTTCTTTGAGCTGGGCTTTGGTCTTCATCCCCTGGGATTTTATATATAGTGATCTTTGTGTCTTTAATTTTTAAGTGACCTGTAATTTTAGTTACCTTTGAACAGTGCTTTTCAAATTTTTTTGTGGTTAGTTTTCTGATATTATTCTTTTGTTAAATGTTTCTAGTTTTATTCTTTTCTAGCCAGAGAAGATTCCTTGTTAATGTCCTACATTTTTTGGCATGTACTGAAATTTTCTTTATGCATTTATCCTGGTCAGTCTTTGTAAACATTCAATGCTTTCATTATAAGTTATGAAGTCCTCTACATATCTACTGAATCATATTTGTTAATTATAATTATAACTGAGTTCTCTCTCTCTTTGGGGGGCAGAGGTATGTTAATGTCAATAGGCTAGTAATTTTATCTCTTCATTTTTCTGAAAAGCTTTTTTTCCCTATGTTTTGATTCTTTACTGTTCAGTGATAAATATCTTTTTATCAATGGTATTCCTCCTTGTTTTACAAGGCAGTTATAAGCTATTCTTATATTTATTCTTCTTCTGTCATTTTATTGTGGTTTGGCAGAAAGGGGAGGTATGTACAGGAGAGGACAGGAGAGGGGAGAAGAGAGGAGCACATACTTCCCCTTCCTTCCAAATTATTTTACAAACTCAGTGCTGCAGTTCAATAATGAGCTATTTTTCCAAAAAAGTTCAGAGAGGTTTTCTGTCTGTGATCACATATCAGAAGAGTTTTTGGGGCCCTTTGTGGGGAAAAGTAGAAAATCTGTGTCACAAAATATGTCATGACTATAAGAGACTAAAAAGATGCTCCCTGAGGTATTGCTGAGTTGCAGATTTCTTTTTTTTTTTTTTTCTTTTTGAGATGGAGTCTTGCTCTGTCATGAGGCTGGAGTGCAGTGGCATGATCTCGGCTCACTGCAACCTCCGCCTTCTGGGTTCAAGCAATTCTTCTGCCTCAGCCTCCCGAGTAGCTGAGACTACAGGTGTGTACCACCATGACCAGCTAATTTTTGTATTTTTAGCAGAGACAGGCTTTCATCATGTTGGCCAGGATGGTCTCTATCTCTTACCCTTGTGATCCACCAGATGTTTTTTACATCCGCTCCTTGGATGTGGGGAGGAGGCACTGGCTGCCCGCAGGTTGCTGAGCAGGTGGGACTATGTATAGCCAGGTTAGACAGCAACTCTGTTTGAGAACCTTGGCAAGGTCAAAGCCAAAGCTGTCTCAGAGAGCTGGTCATGGGACTGATTCTAACTCTTTATGAGGACAGCCAGGGACTGCCCTCATAAATACTGAAATAGATGTAAACAGCATGGCTGTTGAGGCACAAGTAGCCCAGGAGTCCTTTTAAATGATATTTCTTTTATATTTCAAGCAGAACATTTACTCCTACTTCAGACAGTTGCATTATAATCAAATTGAATCAGCCTGTTTTATACTTTATATTTAAGGCTGATAAGTTTCATCTAATTTAGAGGTCTGGCGAGCAAAAGGAAAAGACCTGGTCACAAAGTGGTGAGTTTAGGGCACCTGGATCCCAGCAAACAACATTTCCTGGGGACTTCTATCAGTACATGGGTTCACACTTTGGTTCTACCACTTTCTACCTATGTGACCTTAAGCAACTTCACCTTCATAAGCTTATTTTCTCTTCTATAAAATAAAGGTAATAATAATGTCTACTTCAGAGGCTTTTTGTGAAGATTAAGTGCAATAATGCTTGTAAAGCGTTGAACACAATGCTTGACACATAGTAAGCACTCAATAAATATTAGCTATTACTGTTATTATCTTGCACAGTGATGAATAATGTTGCTGCAGTCCTGTGGTGGCAGCTGAGAGCCAGAATGGGTGCAGAAAGCCGCTAGTATTTGGAATTCCTTCAGCAGCCTGGTTTGTTGATGCAGTGTTAAATTAAAGCCTATTAATTCATTGTGAAAACAAGCCTTCAAAAGGGCCTGGAATTTGCAGCTTCTTCTCCTGAATTCATGCTGCATGGCACCACTTTATTTTAAGAGTAATAAATGCTAGCTCAACAGTGGAGAAAACTCCTGCTGCTGGGTTTGCTGGGTGGCCTTGCTGGGTGGTTGCTGTTGCCACCTGCTCCCTGGCTGGAAGCTGCCAAGCACTTTCCTGGCAGTGACTTGGCCCAAGGCCGCAGCCCCCAGCACTCACTGTGGATGTGAAGTGGCCACAAAAACTGGTGGTGAGCAGGTGGTGGAGACAAGACAGGTGCCTGATTAGATGGGTTCTAGGCCATCTTGAAGCAGAAGTTATAAAAAGAAAAACAAATTTTCCTGTACTAGGCTGACTCACTCCAAGGCCCAGAGATGGGCAGGGCTCTGTCAGGGCTCTGATAGCACTATCTGCAGAGCCAGGGCCCAGAAGGGATGGGCTCCAGAGCCTCTCCCTCCTGTCCTGGAGCAGGGATGAGAAAAACAAGTTTTTTCTCTTTCAGCTTCCCCGTTTCCCCTTACTATTCTCATAATTATTTTTGCAAGTTTTATAAGTTCATGTGTTTCCCTTCTGTGCAAGTTCACAAGGTATGTTTGAGTTGCAAAACTTGTCACTGTTTGACCCACTGCCTTTGTTCTGCTTCTGTAAGCTTGCTTGCCTGCCCTACGGGTTTTCTGCCATCAAACTGGCCAGTCCCCTTTTGGATGCATATATAAAAGTCAAGCCCTGTCTTTGTTCAGGGCTCAGCCTTTGGATGCTAATCCACTGGGCTGGTGCACACCTAATAAATCCTCCTGTCTCACCCATTGGTCTCTCTTGTCCCTTGATTCCTGCAACAATCTCTGGGAACATTCATTGCAGCCTCAGGAATATGCATAGTGGGTGATGGAGGAGGGGGCTAGGAGAGCCCCCAGCAAGGGGCATGAGCTGCCCTTGATTTGCTGGAGTCCAAGGCCTGTCTAGGGAAGGAGTTGGGGGTGACTGAGGGGCAGCTGATGTGCACCAGGATCTCATTAGTCCTGTGCTTTACATCGATTCACAGGGCTCAGTGGCAGGGACATGCCAAAACGCACCCAAACTCAATACACAGGGAATGTGACTCTGATCTATTTCTTCACTTAAGGGAGTCATTTCACAAACAGCAAGGGATGCCAGAAGACCTCAGAGTTCAAGAAAACTGCCTATTGTGTTTCCTAAAAATAAGAAATCACTTTGAGCCCTGCACTGTTATAGGTAAAGGCAATTTCAGAAAGCCTTTAGTTCCATTGCCCAAGTTAAAAAAGGGATAATTTGTTTTAGTTTTTATCCAATTTATACATATACCAAATTTGAAGACCCTGATAGGTCTATGAGGCTTGTTATTGGAAACCGTCCTCCCTCTTTCTCATCCCTGGAGGCAAGAACTTTCAAGATTTTAGCCCATTCTTGTGGTATTGATCTCTTTGCTTTATATAATAATCTTGCAGCTATTTCTATATTGTGTAGTGTTGGGCACTATCTCCTGGTTTCCTACTGTGAATAAGATGGATTTAGCTCTTTTTTCTTCTCACTGCTCTTCCCCCATTCTCTTTCCTCCCAAAACATGGTGAAGATTTTGGTGAGATCACCACCAGGTTTATGTTACAATCCCTATGTAAGTGCTTTTATAGCAGGAACGTGCAGTGTCCTATGATTACTTTTTCTTTCTTTTTTTTTCCCCTTGGGACAGGGTCTCACTCTGTCACCCAGGCTGGGTGCAATGGCATGATCTCAGCTCACTGCAACCTCCACTTCTCCAGTTCAAGTGATTCTCCTGCCTCAGCCTCCTAAGTAGCTGGGATTACAGGCATGCACCACCATGCCCAGTTAATTTTTGTATTTTTAGTGGAAACGGGGTTTTACCGTATTGGCCAGGCTGGTCTCAAACTCCTGACCTCAAATGATCCACTCACCTCAGCCTCCCAAAGTGTTGGGATTGCAGGCATGAGCCACTGCACCTGGCCACGATTACTTTTCTGCATACTATGATGGCCCAGCCTTTCATCTTCCATGCAATTCATAACTGTCCTGGGTCTTTCATTTCTCTCGTTTTCTGTGGATTTTCCAATAATCCAATGCCAAGCTCTCTGCCAATTGTCTAGATTTCCCCAGAAGGTGTTCAGACAGATATACTATATGTTTCATTTTCCTGAAGAAACCCCTAACCAGCCTGTCAGAGGTGGGTGTTCTCCCAGCCTGCTGCTTAGTTGACATCTGGGACCTTCCATCACATCATTGTGGAGATTCTCTTTGCCTGTCTCCTGGGTTGGATCTCCTGTGTACTCTGTCCCCTGTATCTCTTTCTCTGTTTACCCTGCTTATTGGGGACCAACCCATCTCTGCTGTTTTCATGAGAAACAGTGCCTGGAAGATAGACTTTTGACATCTTGCATGTCTGACAATATCTTCATTTGACCTTTACACATAATTGGTAGCTTTGCTGGGTAAAGACTTATAGGTTGGTAATTATTTTCCTTTCAATGTGGATCCTTCAGTTTTGGGATTTTTAGTCAATTGTTCCTTTCATCATTTTCTCAGGTCCCCTTTCTGAAATTCCTTTTGTTTAAATATTATACCTTCTGGACATGTCTGCTAACATATTTTTCTCCTTTCCACCTTTTTGTCTTTTGGGAGATATCTCTTCACTCTATCGTCTATCCTAATGAGTTTTTCATTTCTGCATAATTTTAGAAGCTATTTGATAATTTTAGAAGTTTTTTGATGTTTATGTTATTTCATTCTTTTTTTTTAATCGGTGCCATTTTCTGTTTTTTTGAGATAGAATCTCACTTTGTCACCAGGTTGGAGTGCAGTGGCATGATCTCGGCTCACTGCAACCTCTGCTTCCTGGGTTCAAGTGGTTCTCCTGCCTCAGCCTCCCGAGTAGCTGGACTACAGGCGTGAGCCACCATGCCTGGCTAATTTTTTATATTTTTAGTAGAGATGGGGTTTCACCATGTTGGCCAGGATGGTCTTGATCTCTTGACCTCATAATCTGCCTGCTTCAGCCTCCCAAAAGGCTGGAATTACAAGCGTGAGCCACTGCGCCTGGCCTCATTATTTTTTTACAGCAATCTTTCCTCTCTGCAAACCAAAAATAAAATTCTAAGACCCCCACAGCCATCTAAAGGGACCCCTCCTCTTGGCCAAGGGCATTCCAAAGTTAAGCTGAAAAACAAGTTCAGGCCATGATGGGAAGAGGGAGCTGGACATGCCTCATTATCCCCTCTGCCCTTTTGGAATTATGGATAGAACAGACTCTGTACATCTGAGAAGAAACATTTACAGTCTATTCTCTCTGTATCCTGCTACCTGGAGTCTTTGTCTGCATGATAAAGCCTTGGTCTCCACAACCCCTTATGGTTACCCAGACATTCCTTTCTAGTGATTTTTTTTTTTTTTTTTTTTTTTGAGACAGAGTCTTGCTCTATCACCCAGGCTGGAGTGCAGTGGTGCAATCTCGGCTTACTGCAAGCTCCACCTCCTGGGTTCATGCCATTCTCCTGCCTCAGCCTCCTGAGTAGCTGGGACTACAGGTGCCCGCCACCACTCCTGGCTAGTTTTTTTTATTTTGAGTAGAGATGGGGTTTCACCATGTTAGCCAGGATGGTCTCAATCTCCTGACCTCATGATCCGCCTGCCTGAGCCTCTCAAAGTGCTGGGATTACAGGCATGAGCCTCCGCACCCAGCCATTCCTCTCTATTGAGAATAACTCTTTTGACCAATTGCCAGTCAGAAAGTCTTTGAATCCATCTATGACTTGGAAGCCCCACCCTGGTTGTCCCACATTTCCAGATGGATCCAATGTACATATTATATGTAGTGATTAATGTCTCATGTCTCCCTAAATGAATAAAACGAAGCCGTTCCCTGCCCACCTTGGGCACACGTCCTCAGGATCTCCTGAGGCTGTGTCCTTAACCTTTGCAAAATAAGCTTCCTAAATTGATTGAGACCTGTCTCAGATACTTTTGGTTTACACTACTGTGATGGATAGTTTTCTCTCTCTTTAAGTTTCCCTTTTCCTGCAAGGTCTCTGCCTCCTCCAAGCTGCTCTTTTTCCCATGCTTATTTAAGTTTCTGTCTTTCACATTAAAGTTCTCCTCAACTGTCTGGGGAGCCTTAGTTCCAGCTCATATTTGAAAGCTAACTGGAAGCTGCGCTTATGGATACAGCTTGTCAATTGTGAGCTTCACGTAGCTGGTCTCTGGGCATCTCAATGTTGGTATCTCTAGGTTTTTCCTTTGGAGATTGTCAGATGACCTGGAGATCATTTCCATGTCCTGCCTAGCAATCTGGGAGCTGAGGGCGAGAAGAAGTCTGGGAGGTGGGGTTCCGCACTGAGTCTGCAAACCTTTACTAATTCTCCCTGCTCTCTGCTGTATCTGGGGTGCTTCAGTGCCTCTATTTTTTTTCCTTTCCCTAGAGAATAGACCTTCCAGAGACTAAAGCTTCAGTTCTCTGCAGGGGTGAGGAAAAAGGGACTTGCGATCTTCTTACACAGACTCTCAACTAATGGCTTTGTTTCTGTCACATGTTAATCTACATTTCCAGCAGACTATGGTAGTGGGGGCAGGTGGTCTGAGATGTAATCCAGGTTGCCTGTTGGCTTTTCTTACTCTTGATTGAGAAGCAGATTTCTTAGTTACAGCCCTTCCAACTGCTCCTCCAGCTGCTTTCCTGCTTCCAAAATTTTGTTGTAGTTATATCCTTTCACTTACCTTTTAAAACCTAATGGGCTTATGACTTAAAAGAAATCCTTTTATTGTTATTTTAGTGAGGCTTGAGATAGAGCAGTGCTAAATGCATGTGTTTAACCTGCGCCAACTTTAACTTTTTAAAATTACAAATAATACATGTTTACTGTAGCAAAATTAGAAAATATAATTAAGAAAATAACACATAATCCCAGCACTTTGAGAAGCTGAAGCGGGTGGATCACCTGAGGTCAGGAGTTTGAGACCAGCCTGGCCAATGTGGTAAAACCCTGTCTCTACTAAAAATACAAAAATTAGCCAGGTGTGGTGGTGTGCACCTGTAGTCCCAGATACTTGGGAGGCTGAGGCAGGAGAATCACTTGAACTCGGGAGGCGGAGGTTGCAGTGAGCCAAGATCATGCCATTGCACTCCAGCTTGGGTGACAGAGGGAGACTCTGTCTCAAAAAAAAAAAAAAGAAAGAAAGAAAGAAAGAAAATAAATGTAACCACAGTAATAATGCTCTTACTTAGGAAAAATGATTGTTAATATTACAGAGGTAGGTCCTTCCATTACTTCATATATATTAATTCTTTCTCACTATATTATATATGTATGCAATGATTGGAAATCAATAAACACACTATTTTTAATCTTAATGTGAACACCTTTCCAAGTCTCTAAACATATTTCTAAAATGATTTTAATGGGGCTGGGCATGGTGGCTCATGCCCGTAATCACAGCACTTTGGAAGGCTGAGGCAGGTGGATCACCTGAGGTCGGGAGTTTGAGACCAGCCTGGCCAACATGGAGAAACCCCGTCTGTACTAAAAATACAAAATTAGCCGGGCGTGATGGTGCATGCCTGTAATCCCAGCTACTCAGGAGGCTGAGGCAGGAGAATTGCTTGAACCCGGGAGGTGGAGGTTGCGGTGAGCCGAGATTGCGCCACTGCACTTTAGCCTGGGCAACAAGAGCGAAACTCCGTCTCAAAAAAAAAAAATTATTGTAATGGTTCATATTATTTCTTGAAATATTTTACAGTGTAGTGTATTTTTGTCCAGCCCTAAGTCATTGGCTATTTGGGTTTTGTCCACTGATTTTTCAGGATCATGATAGAAACTCTAATGGACAACCCTCTAACAGCACCCCAGAATTCAGAATTCCTGACGGCGGGTTCCAGGCATCTGTATATTTTTAAAGCTCCCAAAGTTTTCTGTGATTCTTGATTATTTCCTCAGGATCAATTCCTAGAATTGCTACACCAAAAGTATACTTAGAATTCTTTTAATTCTTATTACCCAGTTGTCCCTCAGAAAGATAACGTGCATTTCACCATCAATTTGTCAGAACCTGGCTTCTTTACCTTTGCTGATACAGGTATTAGATTTTAAAATGCCTCCCAGCCGAGAGGCCCAAATGGTGCATTGCCAGTGTTTTGATTTGTGTTTCTTGGATTACTGCTGAGGCTGAGCATCTCTTCCTATTCATTGGCCGTGTATATTTCTTCATTTCTGAATGGACCTCACAGTGGATTTAAGATTTATAGTTACACTCAGATGTGCAGCAGAAATGTAACTTTCTTCATTTTTTTTTTATAACCAAGCTTAGCTTGGTCCTGAATTTCTACCATTTCCACTCAGCAGAAACAAGCCAATTTTTTATTCAAAGTAACTTCTTGCTCAGTCACTTCCAGGTGACACGGTCTCACCTCCTGCACCCACTCCCATTCCTTTGGTCTCGATACTACTCTTTGGCACCTTGGTCCTTGGGGGCAGCCTCTGCACCGGCTGTGTCTGCTGCTGCTGCTGCTGCTGCTAGTAGTGTTCCCTGCTGTCCAGACCCCACCCTGGCTGGAATAGGAGCTGCAGAGGCCTGGGAGGTTGGACTGCAATAACAGTCTTTAGAGTCCAGCCCGGCCGGGTCTCTGAACCACACAGGAGGTGAGAACAACTCAGGAAGAGGGTTCCTCCACACCCCCTTCTCAGCTACCACTTGTACTCTCTTGATATCACCCCTCATTCCTCTCAGTGGCTGCCAGGGTTCTGGGTGGGAAGCAGACAAAAGACACTCTGCTCCCAGCCTTTTCTGGGGGCCAAGGAAAAATCTATGGCCACCTTGCTTGATCTTTCAAATTTCTCTCTTCCTTTTTTTTTGAGATGGAGTCTCACTCTGTTGCCCAGGCTGGAGTAGTGGCGTGATCTCGGCTCACTGCAAACTCTGCCTCCTGGGTTCAAGTGATCCTCCTTTCTCAGCCTCCTGAGTAGCTGGGACTACAGGTGCACGCCACCACGTCCAGCTAATTTTTGTATTTTTAGGAGAGATGGGGTTTCACCATGTTGGCCAGGCTGGTCTTGAACTCCTGACCTCAAGCAATCCACCCACCTCGGCCTCCCAAAGTGCTGGGATTACAGGCGTGAGCCACTGTGCTCGGCCAAATTTCTCTCTTCTTCTAAGAGAATTTGATTTGTTTTTGAGTGGAAAAACTGCTCTCGCCTCCTGTTTAGCATCCTCTCAACTCTGTGATCTTGGCTTTAGAGGCTTTGGCTTTGTTTTGTTTTTTTGTTTTGATGGCATTTGCAAAGAAAACTCTTTCTCTTGCAAATAAAAAATACTTTGACTATTGTTACAGGGAGGTCTTTAAAAGCTCCATTTTGAAAGTAAAATATGAGCAATACACTTATTCCTGGGTTTGCACTGTGGGGTGCTCATTAGAATCACTTGGAGAGCTTTTAAAAACCCTGATGCTCAGGCAGCACCCCAGAATTCAGAATTCCTGACAGTGGGTTCCAGGCATCCATATATTTTTAAGGCTCCCGAAGGGATTCAAATGGGTAACCAGGGTAGAGAAGTACTTGTTCCAAGCTGCAACTGCCCTACCCATTTCTGGGGCAATGGACCTAAGTAACCTCATGGCTCTTGAAGGCAGGGCTCCAAAGCACCCGGGGAACAAACTGGGCTGTGCCACTGAGGGCTGGGAATGCTGGCGCATGGGCTTCGCACCTGCATCTCAGGGCCTTGGAGGCAGAAGGGGCTCTCAGCTGGGTGTGGATTCATCTCCAGCCGGCTTGACAGGCCTGAGATGGAGGCTCACAGATGGAACCCTGCTAGGGGGAGAGGGGAGGAGGACTCTGCCCCTAGGTCCTCATTAGGCAGTGTAGGCGGGAAAGGACTTCCTCTGTTGCTGGAGTTTGTCAAAGATCAATATGCTGCAACATATGTTTTACAGCTTCCTGTGGTCTCTGATAAATCTCTGGAGACTCCTTTATTTGTCTTTTTTCCCCCTCAAGGTTATGAAGCCAACTGTTTTCCTCAGTGTACAGATGCGCGGAGGCAGGGAGCTCATTTTCCGTGAGAAACTGGCTTCTGAGGATGGAGGCTTTGGGGGAAGCTGGCACTCGGCCTACAGGACAGAGTGGTTGGGGTGTGGCAGACGGTGGGCAGCGTCTCTCCTCGGTCATGCACAGAACACAGGACAGACCCCTTTGCAAAGACTGATAGAAGCGACTTTGCTGTTTCCTTCACAGCAGCGTGGTTTTTAGCTTTCTACGCGCAAGGCATTTTGATGGAGGAATTAGGCACGTTTCCTGCCCTCCAGACACTTGCAGGTAGCAGGGGAGATAACTAGCTACCATTATTTCCAGCACCAGCTGCATGTCAGGCACAGGTGATGGAGATGATAATAGTATTAATAAAGCCTCCCACTTATTTAGCTGCTAATATGAGCTTGGCCTTTTAAAGCACTCTCTGTGTTCCTCACAGGAACTGGATGTAAGATGTCTTGCTACTGGAAGTGTGGCCCTGGACCAGTAGCTGCAGCTTTGCCTGAGACCTTCTTAGAAAGACAATCAGGCTCATCCCAGGCCCCTGAATCTGAATGCCTAGCCAAACAAGATCCCCAGGTGGTCCTGTATGGCTTGTCATCCCCATTTTACAGACAAGAAAACAGAGGCTCAGTGGGAATTGAGCAACTTGCTCAAGGCCACAGGGCACCTAGAAGTTAAGTGGAGATTTGAACCCACATTCTGGTTCCAAGACCTGCTGGTTTCCCACTCTGCAATGCTGCCTCACGGGACTCAGCAGATGTTGGTAAAGGCTAGACTGCAGTGCTATTGGAGAACTGAGGACTGGAGGAGGAACAGTCCCCAGATTTCAGATTTCAGATGGGGAAACAGCCAGGAGGGCTTCCTGGAGGAGGAGGTGTTTGAATCAGTCCTACAAGAGTGGGCAGGACCTGAAGAGAAGGGGCAGGCTTATTTGAGGTGGAGGAAGCAGCCTGAGCAAAGACAGGGAAGAGTGAGTATCGTTCATTCAGAACCTTCTCTTGGTGGCTGCAGACTCCTATGGCCAGACACAATACAGGATTTGAGATAGGATGGTGGCGATTCAGGAAAGCTTTGATTTCCCATTTGTCTGTGACTGCCAGAGGAAGCAGCCACACAGCCTCTGCCCTGGCTGCAGGGTGCTTAGAAATGGACCTGCCTAGAGGGAGGTCTGGACCCTTGGCCCCTGCTTCTTTGGGTCTGCGGAACCCTTTCCTCCCATGATCCCCTGCTGTGCCATGCCTTGCCTTCCCCAACCTGCCCCATCATCCCTTCACTGCTGAACTCAGAGAAAGGCTCACATAGCCCTTGACCCCTGGACACAGAAACCCCCATCTCTAGGCAATAACCAGTGGTCCAATTGGAGGTCATCATGGGACCTTGTCCCTGTTCCCTGTTCTGATTTTGGCAGTCAGCCATCTTCTCAAAATATAGATACCAACTGTGGTGGTGCCTGTCAAAGACAAAACCAAACACATAGGGAAATGGATTTTATTTATGTAATATGGAGCGCACCCGAGATCCGAAGATGAGAGTGTGTCTTCAGGGTGGTTTATAGACGTTTAGAGGGAGGAATAGCCAAGTTATAGGTAGGGTGATATTACAGTTAGGATTGTTTTTGTATTCAGAGAGTCTTCATCAATCAGCTGAACAGAAAATGTTTCTCTCTGTCTAGCTGGCTTCAGGAGGACAAACAATTCAGCCAACCATTTATGAGAAAAAGAATGGGAATTTAGAAAGTCCGTGTCTGGCCTTGTCCCGGGTTAACAAGGTGGTCATTCGCTAGTCTTATCTAAGTCATATGGGGGAGGGTGGTTCTTTGCAGTGAGCTGTTTTCCCAAACACAGAAGGGATGTGGGTACTTCTTAACCATCACTGTTTTTGCAAAACACAGGGCTTAGGGAAATTTCAACATCATCATGTCAGAATTTCTATACACAGAGGTGGAAGGAGAACCATCTGATTAGGAGGTGAGGGCCAGAGTAGTCCTTTGAAGTTGTAATTCCAGAGAAAGGATGTTGATTTTATTTGGATTGTGTGTTAATACCGATCAATAAAAATAGCAGAGTTTTCTAAGGATGCTCTTATTAATATTTTACATAAGTCTACAAAAGCATGAGTTTCTCACATCTAAAAGTATTTTTACAATCAACATCATATCATGTTAATGATTGACATGTATGTCAAATGGAATGGAGAATATGGAGAGTGGAGGGTGCAGCTGAGGCTCCATGGCTGCCCTCTGAGCTACGCAGTGGCTGAGGTTTCCTGCCAGGGGAGGCAGGACGTTGCAGTGCAGGGCTTCTCAGATCTTCGTTTGTGGATTATGGCTTTGGAACCACCTGGGAGGCTTGCTAAAATGCAGAATCCTAGGCCCCCATCAGGAGCTGCTGAATCAGAATCTGGGCATAGAGTGGAGTGGGGCTAGGGAGTCTGTACTTTTAACCAGCTCTCTGGTCCTTGATGGGGTGAAGTCAGAGAAGCCTTCCTTGTGAGTCAGATGATAAAAGTGAGGCCTGAAGAATGAGTGGAGGGAGAGACGGAGAGAAGGAGCATTCCAGTCCCAGGGAAGAGAATGTGCAAAGGCCCTGAGGTAGAAAGCTGCCTGGGGCACTTATAGATCAGACCAAGTGTCCTTATGGCTGGAGAGAAGCTGGCCAGGAAGGGAAGGCGCAGTGTAAGCCTGCAGGGAGAGCCCTGGGCCAGGTCCAGTGGGGCCCAGAGAGCCCTCCTGAGCATTCTGGACTTCTTCCTGAGAGATGTGGGTAGTCATCAAGGGTTTTAGTTGAGGGTGGGTGGGTGGGAGAGGTGGGAATGTGAGTTGATCACTGGCCCATCACACCCAAAGTGTCCAAAACTAAACCTCCAGCCCTCAACCTACTCTCCTTCTCAGTGAGGGCCATCGCCCACCCAGACACCTCAGAAGGAAGCCTGGCCATCACCTGGATTCTGCTGACTTGTCCCAAACATCTCTCGAATCCATCTACTTCTCCCCCCTCACCCCCTCTCCTGCCATTACCTGAGATTGGGCAGTACCTTCTCTCACCTGGACAATGTCAGCAACCTGGGCTTCCTTCCCCCGGCTCGCTCTCCCCATGCCCACCCATTCTCCCTACGATGTAGACTGGCCTTTCTATTAGGCAGTGGTGAGAGATGAGACTGGAGAGATACTCAAACAGCTCGGTGATCCCCACTGCCTCTGGAAACTGTCCTCAACACCATGTGCTCCGTGCCCCCACCCTGCTCCCCTCTCTATCTCTTACCACTGCCTACTCGACAGCCCTCCTCCCACTCCTACCCAGCACCTCCTCACCTCCAGGCTGCTCCACTCTGCCTGACACTTAGATCACTGACTCCAGCACACAGTCCCAGCTCCAGGCCGCCTCGTCTGGAGGCCTTCCTTGACCCTCCCGGGCTGGGCCAGGAACTCCCGCTATGCAGTCTCCTCCCGCCTGCCTGCTCTTCTTGGGGTCTCTCCCAGAGGACCCTGGCCCCTTCTCAGGGGAGGATCTGGGTATTTCTTCCACTACTCCTGGCATCTGGCAGAGCAACTGATCTAGGAAGTGCTTTGTGGGTAAATGTTAGCTAAGCAAGGGTAGGTTTCTTGGCTTCCCCTGGATTGCCCAGTGTGGGGCCCTGATGGCAGCAGCAATCTGGTGGCCTCGGCCTGGGGCTGTTGCTTTCTGGAATATTCTCCTCCCAGCTCCTCGCCTCCCTGCCTCTTCATCTTCTCCCCTTTGGCTTTAATGCTTGTAAGACCATCCAGGATAATTAAGAGAGAGGAGTTTTATGCTGTTTATGGGACTTTGATCAAAGATTTTAATTAACCTACCTTGCTTTAAGCCTTTAAAAGTTCATTCCCCAGGGCTGACCGTTTGATAATGGAATTAATGCTTCTAGGCAGAGTGGGGGAGTGGGGGAAGCAGGAATCGGGAGGGCTGACAAGGAGGGCCTAGCGATTGTCTCATTAACCCTTCCCCAGATGGATAGATTTCGGCTCAACATAAAAGATTTGTCTCAGTCTGAGCTATTCACCTATGGAATGATGGGGTTGGAGTGGTGGTGAGACCCCCATCGCTGGAGGTATGCTAGCAGATACTAGACAGTCTCCTAGGAGGGAGGTTAGTCAGTCATCGCCTCATTGATCAGACGAGGTCACTTTTAGGGACCTGCCAGACCTACGAGTCATTCTCTCTCTCCCTATGCCATGCTGGGGAGGGGCAGGGTACACAGTCTGACTCATACCTGGAGCTTTGGGTTGAGGTCAAACCAGTAGTTCTAATAAGAAGACAAAGACTAAAGGCAGCAACTCCATGAAGCTAACATACCACTTGCAAAAAAATCACTCTTCCAACCAGCCTTCATGGAAGCTGCGCAGAGGGAATACTTATCTGTGCAGACACCACCTCATGGGTTCAGACCTGTGCATCTGCTTTAGAAGCCCCGAACTAGTTGTCACTGGGGAGGCAGTCCTGCAGGTAGGGGTTCCTGAGCAGACATGCACCAGACACCCCTGGAAAGAGACTTCCTGGAGCACAGGCCCTGCCTGTTCTCAGATGCCAGTGCCTTCCGGTAACAAGCACCTCCTTTAGCTCAGGTGAGGATCTTGGTGAGACAGTCTGCTGTTTTGAACTTGGGGGGAAAAGGGACTGCAGTCAGGAATGTCTGTGGTAGGTGGGGTGGGGGATGCAGGAAGGAATTAGGGTTCTTAGCTAAGATCTATTGAGTTGATTATTTTCCAGACACTGTGGCAAGTACTCTATGTGTGTTAACTCATGTAATCTGGCTGGTATTATTTTTCCCATCTAATAGATGAG
The DNA here is from genome assembly GCF_000001405.40 of Homo sapiens. NCBI lineage: Eukaryota > Metazoa > Chordata > Mammalia > Primates > Hominidae > Homo > Homo sapiens. Next base: position 5,821,868 of record NC_000017.11, read on the forward strand.
GAAATCTAGGCCCTTTGAAATACGGCTCCCCAGGGGATGGAGGATGAAGGTCATAGAGTTTCTGGCCCTCTCTGGTCTGGACTCCAGCATGCTTTCCCCCAGCATTCCAGAAATTTTCCACTTACAAGAACTGGCTCATGTCTTCCCTACCATTCTTCAAGGTTTGGCTGAAATGTTGGTGCCCAGCGGCCCATGCCCCACCCAACTCCTCCCATCCTAAGCCCCTGGGAGCTTTCACTGGATTCCCAAAATACTCACTGGTACTTGTATTTTGCCAGTTATGTCCTTCTTTCTGGCGTTATAAATATCCGTTTTAATGCCCAATGCCCAGCCCTCCGGCCGCTAGACAAAGATGATTTCAAGGTGGGAAGACCATGTTTAATTCATCTTTGTCTTATTCCTCCACCCAGCATAAACCCCACATTTCACAAGTGATGTTGAATAAAATGAAAGAGGAAAAGCTCCACTTCTACATCATTAGGTTCTGAGCTGATAAGTAGAAATATTAAGGTGTCAATCAACAAGCATTTCCTGAGTCCTGGTCAAACGGGCAAGGTTCCCCTGTCCCCGTCGCAGGGTGTGCATTGGGGGTGTGGCTCACCTCTTCAGTGCCTCACTGCTGAAATTCTAGGGGAGCATACAGACAGGCAGGCTGTGGGGGCTCTGACCCCATGGTAGTGTCTAGGGGTGAGTGTTCACAGCTGAAGCCCCAGTGGGCGTGTGTTACAGGGTGCTCTTTTAGTTTGCCGTCTATAGGCGGCTTGTGTTAACCAACTCAATTAGAGCCCCTGCTTTATCACAAGGACAGAGAGATTTCTGTATCCCACAGTTTCTTGCCTTGGTATACCACAAGCATCGGATCACACGTGGGCTTGGAGAATGAGTGCAAGGTTTTATTGAGAGGAAGTAGCTCTCAGCAGATGAAGGAGCCAGAAGGGAGATGGTTTTCCCCTGGAGTCGGGCCAGGTGGACGCCCCACTCTTCTCGGACTGCTCCATCCCAGCTCCGCATTGTTTTGCTGGTCAATGGCCGGCCAGGGTGCTGGTGCCTGACCGTGTGTTCTTCCACTGGTGTGCTCCTCTCCATGTCCTCTCAAGGACATCCAGCTGCTTGTCTCTTCCACCCATGTGCTCCTCTCAACGTCTGCCTGTCTGCCCGATAGGGTCTTAGGTTTTTTTTTTTTTTTTTGAGGTGGAGTTTTGCTTTTGTTGCCCAGGCTGGAGTGCAATGGTGCGATCTCGGTTCACCTCAATCTCCACCTCCCAGGTTCAAGCAATTCTCCTGCTTCAGCCTGGTCAGGCTGGTCTTGAACTCCCCACTTCAGGTGATCTTCCCGCCTCGACCTCCCAAAGTGCTGGGATTACAGGCATGAGCCACCACGTGCCCACCTGGGTCTCAGGTTTTTATAGGCCCAGGATGGGGGCGTGGTAGGCCAGGATGGTCTTGGGAAATGCAACATTTGGGCAGGAAATGCCTGTCCTTACCTAGGTCTGTGAGGGTGGAGCCCTAGCCAGGGACCACGCCCTCCTCTACGCAGCACTTCCCTTCCCCACTTCCGTATTATTTAAAGGGACCGTGCTCTTCCCTTCCCAGCACTTCCCTGTCACTGGAAACTATGTATCACCTGGGGGTGGGGAGGAGATGGGGTTGCTTGTCATCATAAGCCCTTCTACAGCCTTTGACTTTTTTTTTTTTTGAGACAAGGTCTCTCTCTGTCACCCAGGCTGGAGTGAGGTGGCATGATCATAGCTCACTGCAGCCTCAAACTCCTGGGTTCAAGCAATCTTCCCACCTCAGCCTCCTGTGTGGATGGGACCACAGGCATGCATCACCACACCTGGCTAATTTTTTTTTTTTTTTTCTGGGTAGACACAGGGTCTCACTATATTTCCCAGGCTGGTCTCAAACTCCTAGCCTCAAGTGATGCTTCTACCTCAGCCTCCAAAAGCACTGGGATTACAGGCATTAGTTACTGTGCCCAGCCTGAATTTTTAAATTATGTATATATATAACTTTGCTTTAAAATGCATATTTAACAGTGAAATAAATGGCATTTTCTTTCATGTCTTAAAATCACCAACCAGAGGGCAAAAAGCCAAATTCCAAGTGGCTAAGCGTGACCCTTATAAGGGAACTGTCAGTTTCCCATTGGGTGGCCTAGGTTCAGAGGGAAGCCCCTGTTTACCCCAATTATGTCCAATGTCTCCAATGATACAGAGGAAAAGGAGCAATGTTTCTTTTTCTTTTCTTTTTTTTTTGAGATGGAGTCTCACTCTGTCACTCAGGGTGGGGTGCAGTGGTGTGGTCTCGGCTCACTGCAAGCTCCGCCTCCCGGGTTCACACCATTCTGCCTCAGCCTCCCGAGTAGCTGGGACTACAGGCACCTGCCACCACACCTGGCTAATTTTTTGTATTTTTAGTAGAGACAGGGTTTCATTATGTTGGCCAGGCTGGACTTGAACTCGGAGCAATGTTACTTTAGGAAGCCGTTTCTGCAGAGGCTTGTCATGGTCGTAAGATGCCAGATCTGACGAGGAGCCCCTTTCATGCCTGTGCTGTAGGAGAGGCTTGAGGGCCAGGCCTGGGGAGCATGGATTCTGTCTTGAATTCCTTTCCTGGTCCTGCTGTTGGAAAAGGCTATGCAGGGAGCGGGTTCTTGAGGCAGGTATCAGAGATGCAGGAGAAGAGGCAAGAGAGAAAGCAAGCATCTCTGTCTACATCCAGAAATTAGATGCAAGGCCTGAAGTTTTCCCATATCTCTGAGAAATTCAGGTGAGGAAAAGGCACGGTTTCCCTTTTACAAAGATAAGATACATTTAGAGTTTGATTAAGCATTGAGGGAGAACAGCTGGAGTTAGTGGGGACAGTACTTATTATAATGCCTGTTTTAAGAAATAGTCACATTTTGGGGGAACAATACCATGGATTATCTGCCATGGCCTAGAGCATCACGGATAAGAGGGCATGCTCCGGGATCAGTCTGGGCTCTGCCTCTCTTTAGCCTTGTGGCCCTAGTCAGGTTTCTTCACCTCTCTGGGCCTCAGTTTCCTCATCTGTGAAAAGGGAACAATGATAGTACCTACCTCAGAGGTTGTTGTGGGGATTAGTTGAGCTAATACATGTAGCTTATGTATTACTGTATGCTCATGTATTACTGGCATAGTAAGTGTCACATAAATGTGAGTTGCTATTATTTATGATTGCTATTACTATCACGTAGGATCTGCTGTCTGTGATGGGGAGAAGCCAGCCAGGGGTGCACATAGTCAAATCCTAAGGTGCCACCGTCACTATCACCAAAGGAGGACATAGATGACTTCTGAGGCATATCTACATTGCTCAGCCTTGTGCTGGCAGGTGGCAGGGAGGGAACCGCTGCATCTGCCACAGCCCCAAATCTAAAGTGGGAAAGGGGCTTGGGATTGCACATAGATGCCCTGAGGCTGTAAGGAATGCCGCCTTGGAGAGCTCCTTGGAAGGAAAGCTTTGGGGGAGCTGAAGCAGAGGGTCTCAAATTTAGAGTGCATCAGAATCGCTGGGAAACTCATTGAATTTCAGCTTCCCAGGTTCATGGTTATTGGGCGGGGCTGCAGCATCTGCCTTTGAAACAAACATCTCTAAGTGATTATGATGCAGTTTTCCTTAGTCTGCAGTTACCTGGGAGACACAGCACATGTAGCTTCTGAGAAATGAGCACCTGAGCTCCCTCACATGAACTGACTTCCTTCTTGGCTGAGAGAACTTCAGAGGTGCTAGGTTTTTAATCAGGGTTCCTGGCACCGTGACTCTGACCCTCAGCTGAGCCCTTGCCATGAATATAAGCTTAGTTTTTATTCTGATCACAGACAGAGCCACAGGCGGACTGGCCACAGACTGCTCTGGTCCTTGCTATATACTCATCCCTAATCCTTACCACGTACTGACCTCTACCCGTGACCTCGGCATAAATCCTGACTGTGGTCACCAGTGAAGCCCTCATCATAAACATAGACTAGCCTTTGCCTTTGACCCTTCCCCAGGCAGAGTGCCAAGCACAAGCTCAGCCAGCTGACTCTCACATGAGGGGATGTGGATGGTTCTGCGGAGCCTCCTCCTCCCCCAGGGCTGGAGACACAGCTGACAGCCCACACCCTGCTTGGTGGCCTCTGGTGGGGTTGAGGAGAGGGCTCTGGGACACAGGGACTGTGCGTGAAAGGTGACCCTAGCTCCACACGCAAGGCTGATTAACGTGTGTCATGCTTCCCTCATTCCCCAGGCGCCTTCTCCAGATCATTTCTCCTCTGATTAATTCCTCAGAACAAAGCTTGCAGCACTTATGTGGAGATTGACTGGAGGACCCTGAGGCTGTTCCCCAGTCGGCTCCTAGGCCTTTCCTGGGTGCTTGCGCTGGTGAAGTGTCTGAGGGGCAGGGAGGCCTGATGCCCAGAGCCTGGCCAGAATGCAGACAGTGTTCTGCCTCCAGGATGATGGGTTTGCTGGTTTTTTGGAGACAGTTTCCCACTGGAGCCAAATCGAGTGAGTGACATTCTGACTTAGGAGTCACTGACATACTGGGTTGAAATCTGTCAGGAGGTGAAATGGGTTCTCCTTTACAAAGATAAGATAAAAGTAGAGTTTATCTTACTGCTACCAACACCACCATTGTTATCTTTGCTATCTGCACTATGAAAAATTCTTTACTTGAGTAATTTCATTTAACACTTAAATCCCAGGATTAAAACAAATAATGAGTAACTCAGTATATACGAGTATCACTACTGACAGGAGATGACACATCGCTCCATTGAGTTCAGGACCAGGGAAGTGAATTCCTCAGTGGACTTGCAGATTTCCCATTACTATACTCTGAAACACATGAAATCCATATAATTTCCTTTGTTTTCTTGGCTACAAGGAAATTCCAGAATTTCTCAAATTGCTGTAGCTTTCTGCTGTTGAAAGTTCTCAATGTAACTCTTGTCTACCCATCTGTCATTATTTCTTGGTTCCCAATTAGTAAACAAAAAATACATAAAAATTATAGTTTTGATGGTATTTGAGTCTGCACTACAAATAAATATGTGTATAAATGAACTGAAAATGCTGAACATTATTCTAAAGTCAATGTATTGATTGTGTGTTGGTTCTTCTCCAGTATGGTGGAGTACACTGCTAATAGACTCCTAATAGACTGACCCTCCTTCAGGTAATAACCATAAACCCTGGATAAAATATAGAAATCTGAAAGGCTCTGAGTAGTGAACAAAGACAGGCAGATTGTGTAGCGTATTTGAAACTTGGAAGAAGGGACTAGCGTGAAGTGGGTTTCCCCTTTTGATGACTTTTGATTTGAAGGAAGCTACGGTCATGACACAGCACAGAGCATCGAATATTCTGATAGAAAGCCCACTCTCTTTCTGGCCTGAAGAACCAGAGGACAGAGACAGAGGACAGCTGCTAGAAAATGAGGGAATGAATTCCAGAAAGGAAATAAGCAGAGAAAAGAGCCCCAAGTTCTGTGAATAAATTCTACCCAAGTCTCTGGCTGATCCCTGAGTTGTGCATGCATGGTGCAGACCCAAAGAAGCTTGCAGCTAAGGCCAAAACACCTGAAATGAAATTAGATCTGCTGCCCACTTCAGATGAGATAGAGTTTGTAGTTTGAAACTCAACAAGTTCGATGCCTGTTAAATAAAAACATTAACACTCTTCAGAGTAATATGACAGAATCCAGAGTCTCAACAATGTAACAATCCACAAAATTAGGGTATAATCCAAAAGTATTTGACGTATGAAAAAACACAAAAATGGGACCAATTCTCAAAGGAAAAGACAGTCAATAGAGGTCATGACCTAGAGACTGAAATTATCACACAAAGGAGTTAAAGCAACTACAACTGTAGTTGTATTACAATTATGGGAAACGTGGTTATAATGGATTTAAAAAAGGGAAATCTTAACAGAAATATAGAGCCTATAGAAAAAGAACAAAATACAAATTCTAGAACTAAAAAACAATTATATAAAATAAATAATTCACTAGGTGGACTTATTAGCAGAAAGGAAGTGACGGAAGAGTCAGTGAGCTTGAAGACAGATTAATACAAATGACTAAATCTGAGGAAAAAAGAAAAAAGATGAAAAAAAAAAAGAAGAGCTTCAGGGACTTATAGGGGAAATATAAAACTCTCTAACTTATAAATAATTGGAGTCCCAAGGAGAAAACCAGATAAAAACCATGATAGGAAATAACCACACAAATCTTCCAAAGTTTGGAGATGAGGACATACATTTACAAATTCATGAATCTTAGCAAGCCTGAAAGAGAATAAATAAGAAAATCATGCCTAGACATGTCAGAATTTAACTGCTAAAATCAGTGTCAACCAGAAGGGTTTTGGATACGAGTGTATTCATTTATTCAATGAATGTTTCTTGAGCTGCGTATCAGACACTGTTGGTGTGCTATGAGCACAACCTAATGCTGGAAACTTTCGGAGAGGAATGGGGGCAATTACTGGAATTGGTTTAAGATTATGTTTTGTTCAGTAAGATCAAATTTACATGAAGAATACAAGCAGAATAAACCTGGAGTTCGGGACATGAAGACAGTTCAGGAACACCGTTCAGGAGCATCTCAGAAGAAGAGCATCGAAGACTTTGAGGGGAAGGGAGTGAGGTCTGATGGGCGAGGAGACTTTAAAAACTCAGGTGGAGCATTTATGGGCAAGGACAATGAAGTATACTCTGACTCTGGGCTGTTCTGCAGTGACTTCAGTCTAGACAAAAGTCTGGATAAAAGAGGAGGAGGGGTCATTGGATAGCTTTGTGACGGTCCCATAGGCTGCAGGAGGAGTTGTTTTGAGGCAAGTGCTAGAAAGTTACCCTTGTAGTGTTGGTGTCTTGGTGAAACAGGGTCACTCATCAATTCATCATGAAACTGAGTGAGCAAGGGGGTCTCTGTTTAGAATTAAGGATGGGCATATTACCATGGGGAGCCAGAATGGAAGATCATGAGATGAAGGCTAATCAACCAAGAAGGAGGCAGGAGGGGCGAGAAGCAGGCAGAGGCAGTCTTTCCCTCTGAGAACATTCTCCAAAAGAGGCCTCTTTGTCACAAAATATTTAAAGTTAATATGTCCATGTGACAGTAGTTAAGATAATAAAAAAAATACTTGGAGAAATATGAAAGCAAGGGACATGGATTCAACACTTGACTGAAACATCAGTGGCCAGATGATGATCTGTGTAGGGAGAAGAGATAAATGATGGTATCTTTTTCAGTATTCACCTTCCGTGGGGGGCAGAGCTCCTTTCTCAGGTTGCCTCTTGTATTAGGGTTCTCCAAAGAAACAGAACTGATAGGATGTGGGCGTAGATATCGCTATAGGTATAGATATAGATATATCTTAGTTGACAGGATTAATAGGATGTGGATACAGATTAGATATGGATGTTGGTAACCTACAGGTCACATTTGGCAGGCTTCCAAATCAATCTCCTGGGGTAGGTCTCATGATGATTCATGGCTTACATCCTGTCCCTGAGTAAAGAATCTAAAGAACATTTTTTTTTTTTTTTTTTTTTTTGAGATGGAGTCTCGCTTTGTCCGCCAGGCTGGAGTGCAGTGGCATGATCTCGGCTCACTGCAACCTCTGCCTCCCGGGTTCAAGTGATTCTCCTGCCTCAGACTCCTGAGTAGCTGGGATTACAGGTGCCCGCCACCACGCCTGGCTAATTTTTGTATTTTTTTTTAGTAGAGACAGTTTCATCACATTGGTCAGGCTGGTCTCGAACTCCTGACCTTAGGTAATCCGCCCCCCTCAGCCTCCCAAAGTGCCGGGATTACAGGTGTGAACCACCGTGCCAGGCCCCTGAGTCCCTCAAATCCTATCGTGAGTTCCTCAAACTGTCGATACATTTATTAATACATAGCTTACTGCTACTGAAAAGGACACTGATTTCTTTCTGAATCATGAAATTTTACTGATTGTCTTGTGTGCAGGACACTTTAGCATGTATATTGTAAACCGTAGCCAAGGATTGTAACCTCTGTCTTGTACCCTCCAATAAAAAAAATGACAATTCTGATATGTGGAGCTGCCTTCCTTTCTCCTAAACTTTCTTGTAAAGGCATTACAACTTGAAACAGACCTTGGAACATGCTTGAAACAGACCTTGGAACACTGACTTTGTTGGTGTGTCTTCCCAGGTTGCTCCCCACATTTGGCTTCCAGTAAGCCTTTGTCAAGCCTTCCAAAGCCTCAACAACCTTAATTTTGGTTGACAAAATGGCATAGTTGGCAGGATTTCAGAGTGACCTCCCTGGACCACCTGGAGCAGCTTCCAACCTTTGGGCAGGAACTGGCAATGAACCCATTGCATTTTTGAGCTTGGATGCACCTGCTAGGTCTACAAATGAGTTCCTCCTGAAATCAATTAACTTCTTGTCTTAGTAAAAGTTCCGGTTTATTGAATCTGATTTCCTCCTTGGCTAGGACATAGGAGGACTCTCTCAGAATGAGAGTTACTGCTACAAATTCGAGGTAAAGGTTTTTGTTGAGTACTACGGCAAGGGAGAATAGGAGCTCTGTGAATTGTTTCCTGGGAGTTTGGGGTGAGACCACCTTTCCTTAGCTTTCTCCTTTTTTGATTGCGTGAGGGCACTCTTGCTCCACTACATAGCTTGTCTCACTGAAAACAACCAAGATGGGAAGTGGGTCCTCTAGTTGCACCAGCTGGTTTTATGTGTAATCCTTATGGTCCTTGTCCTTGCCAGTACTTAGGTAAGTGGATCAACCTAACTCGGGATGGTCATAAGCAGCAACAGCCAAAATGGGAATTTGTTTGAAATGTCTAAAATGATTTATTTAAACACAAAATTGGAAAAAGCTGGCTTTAGAACCAAACAAATTGAATGGGTGACTTACTTCCAATAGCACCTAAAAGCTTTGTAACCTTCACCTGCTCCCCCTTCTTCTGCCCCTCTGATCTGAACTCACTCCTTTCTGCTTGTTCCCTTGGCTTTATACATCTCTTAGGCAGAGATTTTTGGAATTTCACAATGCTCACATTTTCTTCTCTCAAAAGGGGGAAATATATTTAAATTCGAAACAAAAGAAGCAAATGAAACAACTGCAGAATGAGAATAAAACTGCTGAGATTAAAAAATACAGATTTTTTTTAAACAATTTTTTTATCCCTAAACTTTGTTAATGAGAAACACTCTGGGATTCTCAACCGTTGAGGCAATGCCAGGTTTTCTAGGCCTCCAGCTGGCTACATATTATGGCCCATTCTTGTGCACATTTGTAAATTGATGGGCAAGTTACTTCAAGGAAAATTCAGAACTCAAATAGTCGTTATTCCAAAACCCTGCAACTCTAACGTTAGTATGTAGAATCTTCTAAGTTCTTTATTTCTCTATTTTTTTCTGCTACCTACTATGAATCTGCTGAGTTTTCTACTGGTTTTGAGATAAAACTCACTGCTACTGGTATTACTAATTCAAGGTTGCTTGGAGGTTTTGTTTTTCTTATAGAATTCAGCCAGTTCTAGATAATGGCTAAACATTAAAAATGTAACCCTAAATTCATCTGAAACCAAAGGAAAAAAAAAAGAAGTGAAAGAGATTCTTAAAAATATAAAACTGCCATGGAAACTGCTATTTCCAAAATTTTAGTTCAGAGTCTTCACTATATTATCTATTGGGGCAAACAAAGTTTATTCATGTAAACAGGTCTCAATTTTGTCAGAGATATAATTTGGATCCACTTGTCTTTTCACTCATAAATTAGCCCCAATATTCCCCAAGTTCATGTGACTTAAGTAAATCTTTAATAAATAAGATAGCTTTAAAGTTATTGGTAAAATAGAAATATCTTCATAAGCTGTGAAAATGATTAACATAGAAATAAGTTGAAATAATGCCTAGGTTTGTCAAATATCTCATTTCTCATAATCTGGGTAAACTTAAAATAAATAAATTAAATGTAAATGGGATAAAGTGCTTATACATACAATTTTCATGTACTTTGAAATATTAAAATTGTGTTAAATAATAACTACTTATTAAACGTCCGAGTTATTTCCAATTAAGAAAAAATTATGTTAGAAGGAAACATGTTTCTAAAAATTATCAAATGGTTTTCATCTATAAACTACTGATATGTGACAGATGATTCAAGATTTCTTGCCTCCTAGGTTTTCACCAAAATGTAAGGTTGCTAAGAATAAAAATTCTAAATAATATGTATAATTCTGTATATAAAGTGTACCTAAAAAACAAGATGTGTTTTTAAGAGAAAAAAACATAAAAAGGGATAACATGTTTTCTTTACTGAGAAAAAATAATTTTGTCGAATTTGGAGGTTATTTAAAAGTTGATTCAAAATGTAGATTTAGGGGAAAGATATAAGAAGATAGAAAGGAACCATTAAGTAAGACAGAGAGAGAGAGATGTGAAGAAAGTTGTGGACATAAATATATATTTTTATTAAGTAAGGTTAAAGAAAAAATAATTTTGTGTGAGAAAAAATCTTGAATAATAATTTTTTGTCCTAAAGTAAAATGACTTGGTATTTAAGAAAAAGGAAGTGTAGGATAAAGTAAGCATGTCATAAATGGTCTGTATCAGGTTCATGAAAAGAGAATTTAAGAAAGAAATTTTGTGTGTGTTTAAGTTGGCTATAATTAAAAGGAAATTATTTATAAGTCTTTCTAAAGATTGGTCCCCTATGTTGGAACAAGGTTTTCTTAAAGTATTGATTCGCTCTTAATGACATTGTAAGAGGTTTTGATTTTTAATTCTGTTATCTTTTTCTTTTTGAAACTTCTGAGATTTATATTTTGCAAGTTCAACTTTTGCTGTGCTCGGCTACATGTAATTTGCAGGTCATGTATCATTGCTTTCTGTTTTTCCTCCTCTTGAAAAGATATATCTTTTTGCTTGGCTGGGGTGATAACTCTTTCCACCTTTTCATCCATTCCTATAACTTTTTTCTCTAGTTCTAATTCTGATGTTGTGGCCTGCTGCTGAAATGTTTATCTTGAAGTTCTAGAAAAGCAATGTTTTCCTCCAGTGTAACTTGATTCCATTCTCTTGGCTTTTCTTGATGTGTCTGAATTGGTCAATGTAATTTGGAGACTTCCCATACAAAGAACCATGTATTCCCCTGATCAAGGTAATGGTTTTCTTGTTTACATTCCTCTGTGATGCAGTGTTCACTCATCACCCTGGAAACACTTCCTGTGTCTGCGTCTGTTTAAATTTAAATATCCTTTTCATCAGGCTTGGCTTCCAGGTTATCTAAATTGGCTTCTCATAAGGAGAAGCAATCACACCACAGGAGGTTATTCTTTACCTTTTTGGTAGCTGACTGAAAAACCAAAGATTTTACATTTTGTCAAGATAATTCCTGTGTTGCCTTTATTAGGTTTCTTGATTACTTAGGAAAACTGAGCTGTAAATGGGTTAAGGGTTTTATATTCATGTAACTTTCTGTATGGCCCCTGAGGTCTTTTGATTGTCACACTGGTTAAATAAATAACTATTATTTTACAAAGACAATGACCTGTAATTTTGTTTTGTTCCAATGTTTTGAAACTTCTGACATATTTGACGTATTTTCCAAGGGTGAAAATCCTAAATTAAGTCTTTTTGGATTAAATATTAGGTTGGTGCAAAAGTAATTGCAGTTTTAATTGCAGTTTTTGATCTAATATATGTATTTGGTGAATTATATGGAAAACAATGACAATAAATGATACTAATCTTCCTTCAGTTACATCTATGGGTATGTTGTTGATATAAATGTTCCAAAAAGTATGTAAATTATAAAAACCCAATATGTTATCAGTCATAATTTTGATTATGTTAATTTTTTCTAAAATTATATGGCTATGTTATTAATATGAGTATTCTAAAGATTACATAAAATTTATAAAAGTCTAATGGTCCTGATATGACACTGTCAGTCATAGTTGTGGTTGTTATCTTAAAATGCTACATGCAATGGAAATAACTAAATTTCTTTGTCAATTGGGAATTTTCATCAGATTTAACCTATGGCTATTCAAAGTTTTTGTGATCATAGCTTTTTTTTTTCTTTAAATTGAGACAGAGTCTCACCCTGTCACCCAGGGTGGAGTGCAGTGGTGCAGTCTCAGCTCTCAGCAACCTCCATCTGCCAGGTTTATGCGATTCTCCTGTTTCAGCCTCCCGAGTAGCTAGGATTATAGGCGTGCACCACCTCGCCTGGCTAATTTTTTGTATTTTTAGTAGACACAGGATTTTGCCACGTTGCCCAGGCAGGTCACGAACTCCTGAGCTCAAGTGATCCACCCGCCTCGGCCTCCCAAAGTGCTGGGATTACAGGCCAGAGCTATTGTTTTGAAATCTTCTCTAGAAACATTTGCAATCAGCTATACTCCAAAACTGCTTTCCATGGAAGAGACTCTAACAAGTCCTTTTGAATACAGATTTCCGATAACTTTAAGAATAATAGACTAAATAAAAACTTCCATAAAAAGTTGTACATCAAGATCACTAACCCAACATCAAACAAAACAAGAATTACACGGGACTGCACTCATAGAGGACTAAAATGATTTTTATGACTTTTAAAAAAATTGCTAATTCTTTTTATATTCTGTTTTCCAACGTCAAAAAGTTTTCCTTCTTTTGAGCCACCTTACAACAATTGGGTAAAGTATGCTTTTGTGAACAAAATTAAGACACTTATTTTCTCTTTACCCAAATTCTCCAGAATATGGAAACTATTCCTCAACAGCTAAGGCCAAAATAATATCACCCAGCAACTGTATGTGATTCATTATTCAGGAAAACAGCACATAGCCTTGTGTCATGTTCTGCCCCATGTTGCTAACAACCTGCCTGCAATAACAAGGTTCTTTCTTTGCATTGAGAGATGAGACTTCCTGGGAATGAGCCTTCTCAGTGCCTAGGGATAAAGAATGTCTATCACTCTAACCTAAGTGGAGATTTATCATCAGTGCTTCCACATGAAGATTTTTGATCAAAAAGGGGAAATGATAACTTACAGGTCACCTTTGGCAGGCTTCCAAATTAACCACCTGGGAAAGGTCTTATGATTCATGGCTTACATCCTGTCTCTGAGTAACAAATCTTTTTTTTTTTTTTCGAGACAGAGTCCTGCTCTGTCGCCCAGGCTGGAGTGCAGTGGCGCGATCTCGGCTCACTGCAAGCTCCATCTCCCAGGTTCACGCCATTCTCCTGCCTCAGCCTCCTGAGTAGCTGGGACTACAGGTGCCCGCCACCACGCCCGGCTAAGTTTTTGTATTTTCAGTAGAGACGGGGTTTCACCTTGTTAGCCAGGATGGTCTCGATCTCCTGACCTCATGATCCACCCGCCTCGGCCTCCCAGAGTGCTGGGATTACAGGCGTGAGCCACCGCGCCTGGCCCCTCTGAGTAACAAATCTTATTGTGAGTCCCTCAAATCTTATTGTGAGTTCCTCAAATTTTTGATGTACTGATTAATATGTAACCTATTAACACTGAAACGGACACTGATTTGTTTCTGATGCATGAAGTTTTGCTGATTGTCTTGCTGTAGGACATTTTGGCCAGTATGCTGTAAACTGTAGCCGATGATTGTAACCTCTGAATTGAACCCACCAATAAAAAAGAGCAACTCTGATATGAGAAGACCCCCTCCCTTCTCCTAAACGTTCTTATAATGGCATTCCAACTTGTAACAGACTTTGGAACACACCTAAATTCGTTGGTGTGTCTTCCCAGGTTGATGCTCACATTTGACTTCTGCTAAAGCTTTTTCAATTTATTTCAGCCTCAAGAGCCTTAATTTTGATCAACAGTGTATAGATTTATTTTAAGGAATAGGTGCATGAATAATGGAAGTTGGCAAGCCTAAAATTCACAGGATAGGCCATCCTGCTGGAGACCCAGGAAAGAGCCACAGTTGCAGTTCTTGTCTGAAACCATCTGCTGGCAGAATTCCCTCTTGCTTGGGGGAGAGCAATCTTTTGTTTTATTCAGGCTGTCAGGTGATTGGATGAGGCCCACCGACTCATGGAGGGCACTCTACCCAAAGTCCACCAATTTAAATGTCAAACTCATCCAAAAACACCCACACAGAAACATCCAGAATAATGTTTGACCAAATACCTGGGCACCATGGCCCAGCCAAGTGGACACACAAAATTAACCATCATAGCTCCCTTGATGGGGGACTGAGGTAGGCTTTTGGATCAAGGAGGGGATGTTTTACACCTCAGTGAGGCTTTGCCCTCCACTTGGGACCCTGGATTCTGTTTGTGAAAGGTCCTGATTGAAGACAGGAGAAGGAGTGGTAACCACAGACTGAGGGTGGGGGATCGCAGACTACACGGCTGTGTCCACAATATCAGGTTCCAAAGGTGGGAAATAAGAGATAACACTAGGATGGCCGGGCGTGGTGGCTCATGCCCGTAATCCCAGCACTTTGGGAGGCCGAGGGGAGCAGATCACGAGGTCAAGAGATTGAGACCATCCTGGCCAACATGGTGAAACCCCGTCTCTACAAAAAATACAAAAATTAGCTGGGCGTGGTGGCTCACGCCTGTAGTCCCAGCTACTCGGGAGGCTGAGGCAGGAGAATTGCCTGAACCTGGGAGGTGGAGTGAGCCGAGATCCTGCCACTGCACTCCAGCCTGGCAACAGAGTGAGACTCCGTCTCAAAAAAAAAAAGAAAAAAGATATTAACACTAGAACTAATGACAAATACCTGAATAGTGCCTACCATGTGCCAACAGTGTCCTAAGGACTTTGTATATTTTAATGCAATTAGTCCCCCAGTAACCTTGTGATATAGTACTCTTATTATCCCCACCGTACAAATGGTAAAAAAAAAAAAAAAAAAAAAAACTGAGGCTAAGCTGGGGTTTGAACCCAGGGAGTCTAACTCTAGAGATTTCACTCTGAATTACTGATCTATACTGAAGGGCAAGTTAGGAATGGCTTGACTAAGATTAGAGATAAAAACCAGGAGATAGAAGCATGTTCTAGTGTTAATCTCAAGTAACTATTTTTTTTTTTTCCTCTAAAAGGCTTAAGTTAACTAGTGGGTAACATTGCCTTTGGAGAAGGAGGCCTCAGGGAAACTGTTAACTCTTAGATGAGAACGAAGAATGAGTGTCTCAGGTTTTGGTGTCAGTGCTTGCTTAGAGAGAGAATGTTCAATCTTTGATTCTTCAAAACTTTGGGAATTGTGTACATGTGGCTGTGCTTGTGTGCATTCAGCAGTTTTGGCTTGTTCATTCATTGACTCACTTTTTTTTTTTTTTGATCTCCAGGAATGTGCTGGCACTGATGACACAGTAATGACCAAGGTAAACAAGGACCTGCTCTAGCCTGACAGGCTGGTAAGGAGAGACAGAAAACAAGGATCTTAGATTGTCAAAGTGCATCCTAGTTTGGCTCTATGAGAGGGACTTGGGCGCTGGTAGTTTACCTGGGAAGTGATTTCAAGAAGCACAAATTGGGCCGGGCGCGGTGACTCATGCCTCTAATCACAGCACTTTGGGAGGCTAAGATGGGTGGATCCCCTGAGGTCAGGAGTTCAAGACCAGCCTGGCCAACATGGTGAAACCCTATTTCTACTAAAAATACAAAAATTAGCCGGGCGTGGTGGCATGCACCTATAATCCCAGCTACTCAGGAGGCTGAGGTGGGAGAATTGCTTGATCACTTAAACCTGGGAGGCCGAGGTTGCAGTGAGCCGAGATGGCGCCACTGCACTCCAGGCTGGGCGACAGAGCAAAACTCTGTCTAAAAAAAAACCAAAAAACAAAGCACAAATTGGGAGGTGGGAAACAGACAGGGAAGGGAAAAAAAGCCCATAACACGTGCATTCGTGAAGGGGTATCACTGTGAGCAGGAACTCAGTCCGGTGGGGATCCTCTGAGGAATGGTGACGCTTGCTCAGGATCATCCCAATGAGAGGTGGGAACTGGGAGTGCATCTATTTACTCCCATCTCCCACTGGCTGAGGGTTGTCTCCAGGGCTGGTCACTTCTCCATGCTCATGGGTTGTGCATTTGGGAAGCTGGACACGTTCTGTGGGGGAGAGGACACCCTTAGGCTGAGAAGCAGAGAGACCCAGGCTCTTGTCTAGGGAGGCAGCCAGCGAGCTGGAACAGTCTGCCTCAGCTCCAGATAAACTCAGAAGCTGGCCACAGGGCTGTGGACAGCGTGTCCACTATGAGGGCCCTGTAGTGAGGGACAGTTTTGCTTGTTCAAGGAGCCAAAAGGACTGAACAGGTGATGGAGGACAGGAGGAGCTGGGCTGGAGAGGTGGGTAGAGGCCAGGCCCCCAATGCCCAGCCACCAGCATAGGGGCTGTGGATTTTCTAAGTACAGAAGAAGTCACAGAGGGTTTCAAGCAGAAGTGCAAAATGAGCTGAGGGTAATTTTTAAAATATGAGAGAGGAGTAAATGCCTGGAGAAGGTAAGGAAACTTGGGCTCCAGGGCATATGGGCCTCTGAGAGGAGCAGGGATGCATCTTCTATTAAGACAGGAGCAAGAGTGGGCACCCGCCTCACACAGGGTTGGCCTAGGAACAGGAGGGAGCTTCTGTTGTTATTTTCTTTTCTTTCTGCCCTGGAGAATGAGGTGCCCCCACTGGCCAAAATGGGAGTTGGGAGGGGATTAAAGGAGAGAGAAGTGACAGTTTTCTTTCTTTCTTTTTTTTAATTTTTTTTTTTTTTTTTTTTTTTTTTGAGGTGGAGTTTCACTCATTTTGCCCAGGCTGGAGTACAGTGGCGCTACCTCGGCGCACTGCAACCTCCGCTTCCCAGATTCAAGTGATTCTCCTGCCTCGGCCTCCTGAGTAGCTGGGATTACAGGCGTCCTACACCACACTTGGGTAATTTTGTGTATTTTTAGTAGAGACAGGGTTTCACCATGTTGGCCAGGCTGGCCTCGAATTCCTGACCTCAGGCAATCTGCCTGCCTCGGCCTCCCAAAGTGTTAGGATTACAGGCGTGAGCCTACATGCATAGCCGACAGAACAGTTTTCTAAGACAGCCACAAAGTGAACCCAAGAGATTAATACGGGAGGGCGGTCCAGAGGGCTTAGTCTCTGAGTGAATTCTGTGGTCATGAATTGAAAGTGTAACAAATCAGAATCAGGTCATTTGAAGTGATTTTCTTGGGTGACATTTAGCTGCTCTGGTGTGGGTGAGCAGAAGTGAGACAGTTGGATTGGAGCAGGCTGGGGTTTGGCCAGGAGAGTGCAGCAGAGGCAGCGAGAAAAGGGTGCTGGGGGCCTCTCAAGAGAGCAGGGGGAATGGGGTTGGTGGCTGGAACCCAGGGCCCCCTGTCTGTATGTGCAGGGCTCTTGAAAGATGTGCACCACAGGGAGTCAATTTGGCTATGGTTTTTGAGTTTGTGCTCCACGACTGAAAATTCATTTATTTCCCACACCACCCTCTCTCCACTTCATTCCCTTTCATTCATTAGAGTAATTGTGAAAAGTATATGAAGTATCTCAATATTTTTTTGAGTATAAAAACCTATTTTAAACATCAAATTGTTTTCTAGGCTTCCAAATGAGTTGTTTAACATCCACCGAGATAGAAAATATCCAATCAAAAGCTATACTAGGGGGACATTTATTTATGGAGCTATATATTTCACAGGTATTACCTCAATACAGTCTTATTTTATAAAATTTAAATACAGAGCAAACCATGGTCAGTTAAAATTTCCAAATGCGAGTCAAGGTTTATTGCTTATTAATGAAGGGTTCTAACACAGGTAGCAAAGGGAGTGAGCTGTTCAAAGATCCTGGGAGAGAGATTTGCCTCTCTTAGCTGGACATGGACCTTTCTTTCTTGCCTCGTTGTCACCTAGCTAGACACAGCTTGTTGTCTGGCATCACGTGGTCATAAAAAAATCAGGTTCCTCTCAGTGGTGGGGCATGGATAATTTGGAACCACCATCAGACATGACTCGCTAATCAAAAACACCAAGTCACAGATCTGAGAAGTAAAGGATAGCGAATTGATCTGGGCCTATTAATTGAATGTTTCAAGCAACAGGGTTTATATCCCGTTCACCCTCAGGTATCACTCACAGGCCCAGGGCCTGGCCTTTCACTGAAGCTCTCAAAACATATCTCCAACCTGCTCTCAAAGACGATGAACGCACAATTTGCTTCCACCTCAGTTTTGGGCAAAACATCACTTTCTTCTTCTTTTTTTTTTTTTTTTTGTTTTGAGACGGAGTCTCTCTCTGTCGCCCAGGCTGGAGTGCAGTGGTGCGACTTCGGCTCACTGCAAGCTCCGCCTCCCAGGTTCACGCCATTCTCCTGCCTCAGCCTCCTGAGTAGCTGGGACTCCAGGTGCCCGCCACCGCGCCCAGTTATTTTTTTGTATTTTTAGTAGAGACGGGGTTTCACCGTGTTAGCCAGGATGGTCTCAATCTCCTGACCTTGTGATCCGCCTGCCTCGGCCTCCCAAAGTGCTGGGATTACAGGCGTGAGCCACCGCGCCTGGCCAAAACATCACTTTCATACATGAAAGTCGCCATTTCTTTACTTATTACTCATACTCCCTTCCCTGTGGGCAACTGTATTAGCCAAATTTTGCATGGCTACCTGAGACTAGGTAATTTATAAAGGAAAGAGGCTGAATTGGTTAATAGTTCTGCAGACTGTACAGGAAGCATGACGGCATATGCTTCCAGGTGAAATGGGAAAGGTTCCCTTGTCCCCCTCAGAGGGCACGTGATGGGGGCGTGGCTCCCTTCTTCAGTGCCCCACTGCTCAAACCTCTAGGGGAGCATACAGATGGGCAGGCTGTGGGGCTCCGACCCCAAGGCAGTGTCTAGGGGTGAATGTTGGCAGCTCCTGAAGCCCCAGTGGGTGTGTGTTACAGGGTGCTCTTTTAGTGTGTGGTCTGTAGGCGGCTTGTGTTAACCAGCTCAAGTAGAGCCCCTTCCTTATCAGAAGGACAGAGGGATTTCTGTATCCCGGGGTTTCTTGCCTTGGTGTACCAGAATAATCGGATCACACGCGGGCTTGGAGAATGAGTGCAAGGTTTTATATTGAGTAGAAGTAGCTCTCAGCAGATGGGGGAGTCAGAAGGCAGATGGTTTTCCCTTGGAGTCAGGCTGCTTGGCTGCCAGGCTCAACTCTGACCACTCAGGCCAAACTCCACATCCTTCCTCTGCTCGATGGCCTGCCGGCCTGCCAGTGCCTGGCGGCCTGCTCTTCTGCCAGCATGCTCTCCACGAGCAGGGGGTTGTGTCTTCTTCCGCCGATGTATTCCTTACGACGTCCAGCAGCTTTATGTCTGCCTGCAAGAGTCTTGTTTTTTTTGTCGTTTTGGTACAGAGTCTCTCTCAGAGATTAAATATTAATCAATATTATTAATATATCATATTAATATATCACATTGTATTAATATGATAATAAAATATCACATTAATATAATATAACATTAATATAATATAAATATATAACATTAATATTAATAAATATAATAATATTCATAAATATAATATTAACATATTATATTATATAAATTGTATATTATATATGCATAATATATTTTATATAATATAAATATATTATATTATATATACTATAATATATAATAAATATATAAATATTAATATGATATATATGTTATATATAGTATATAATAATTACATAATATATATGTAATATATGTAATTATATATTATATATTATAATTACATGATATATATGTAATTATATATAATATAATGTATGTAATTATTATATATAATATTTTGTTATAATATATAATATATCATATGTAATTACAATATATGCATTATATATGTAATCATAATATATAATATATGTAATTATATAATATATGTAATTATATATAATATATATTTAATTATAATTAAAATTATATATGTAATTATATTATAATTAGAATTATATATAATATAATATATTATAATTACCTATATTATATATGTAATTATAACTATAATTATAATATATGGACACCCCCTACCAGATGGGGAGTAATATCCCCCTCTCCTCCACTTGGAAATTATGATCCACCTCGCTGGGGGGTGGAAAACCCCTGCGAGATGGGGAGTGATATCATCCTCCTCTCCCCCCTGGATATTACCACCCACCTCGCAGTGGGGTGGGCACACCCTGCGAGATGGGGAGTAATATCATCCTCCTCTCCCCCACTGAATATTACGACCTGCCGTGGACCCACAGCGTGTTTACGATATTGTGAGTAGTATCATCTCTCCCTCTGGAAATTACGAACTATTTCACAGACGGGTGTACACTGTCTGCAGTATTGGGGGTAATATGATCCTCTCCCCTGCTGGATATGAAGAAGAATATCCCAGGAGTGTTTATACCCCCTGCGATATTTGGTGTCATATCATCCTCTCCCACATTGAAGTTAGGAACAATATCACTGGGGGCGTGTACACCCCATGCGATATTGAATGTAATATCATCCTCTTCTCTCCTGGATCATGGGAACAATATCATGGGGGGAGGGTGCACACTTTCTGCAATATGGGGATTAATAACATCTTCTCGCCTTCCGGATATTAGGAACAATGTCACACGAGGGTTTACACTTTCTTCGATATTGGGAGTAATGTCATCCTCTCCTCTTTTGAATGTTAAGAACAATATCACGGGGGGATGTACACCACCTGAGATATTGGGAGTAATGTCAGGCTCTCCCTTTCCTGGATATTACGAACAATATCACAGCGTGGGTGTACACCTCCTGCTATATGGGGTGAATATCATCCTCTACCTTCCTGGATATTAGGAACAATGTCACTGGGTACACAGCCTGCGATATTGTACTAAATATCCTCTCCCCCTCCAGATATCAGGAACAATATCACAGAAGGGTTGCACACTCTCTGCGATATTGGGAGTAACATCATTTTTTCCTTCCCTGAATATTAGGAGCAGTATCCTTGGGTGGTTGTACACCCACTGTTATATTGGGAGTAATGTCATACACTTCCCCCTGGATTTTAGAAGCAATATCACAGGGTGCAGTGACGCGACCTCGGCTCACTGCAACCTCCATCTCCCGGGTTCAAGCGATTTTCCTGCGTCAGCCTCCCGAGTAGCTGGGATTACAGGCACCTGCCGCCATGCCCAGCCAATTTTTTGTATTTTTAGTAGAGACAGGGTTTCATCATGTTGGCCAGGCTGGTCTGGAACTCCTGACCTCAAGTGATCTGCCTGCCTTGGCCTCCCAAAATGCTGGGACTACAGGCATGAGCCACCATGCCCAGCCAGGGTCTTGTTTTTTATTTTATTTATTTATTTATTTATTTTTTTGAGAGGGAGTCTGGCACTGTTGCCAGGGTTCGAGTGCAGTGGCACAATCTCGTCTTACTGCACCCTCTACTTCCTGGGTTCAAGTGATTCTCCTCCCTCAGCCTCCCAAGTAGCTGGGATTACAGGTGTCCACCACCACGCCCAGCTAGGTGTTTTTTTTTTTTTTTTTTAATGTGTTTTTAGTAGAGACGGGATTTCACTATGTTGGCCAGGCTGATCTCAAACTCCTGACCTCTCGATCTGCCCACCTAGGCCTCCCAAAATGTTGGGATTACAGGCGGCCCAGCCGGGTCTTGTGTTTTTATAGGCACAGGATGGGCCCCTGGCGGTCCAGGGTGGTCTTGGGAAATGCAACATTTGGGCGGGAAGGCAGGAGCGCCTGTCCTCAGCTACGTCCATGGGGGTGGAGCCCTAGCCAGGGACCAAGCCCTCCTTTACCCAGCACTTTCCTTCCCTGCTCCCGAATCATGGGTAGGACTCAGGCAGCTTCCAGTCATGGCGAAAGGCAAAGGAGGAGGGAGGTGTCACACATGACAGAGCAGGAACAAGAGACAATGGTGCAGGAGGTACTATACACTTTGTAAGTATATAGTGATCCCGTGAGTGAGATATCGCGAGATCTCACTATCACGAGAACAGCACCAAGTAGACAGTGCTAACCATTCATGAGAAATCCACCCCCAAGATCCAATCACCTCCCACCAGGCCCCACCTCCAACATTGGGGATTACAGTTCAAGATGATATTGGGTGGGGACACAGATCCAAACCATATCAGTAACCAACATCAACACCTTGGGTTCCATTCTTCCAATGTCTTTGTGTGTGTGTGTGTGTATGTGTGTGTGTGTAAGAAAAATATAAACATAAATGGTGCCATACCATGCAAATTATTTTTCAATTTTATTTTACTTTTTGATAAGTGTTGGGCATCTTTCTATGTCAGTGCATGAAGGACTACTACATTATTTTAATGTATGCAGAGAATTCCATGGTCCCAC
Organism: Homo sapiens; assembly: GCF_000001405.40. NCBI lineage: Eukaryota > Metazoa > Chordata > Mammalia > Primates > Hominidae > Homo > Homo sapiens. The sequence continues at coordinate 5,844,208 of NC_000017.11, forward strand.
AGTAGGTCAATCTTTAGCCACTCTCCTATTGATACACATCTACAAATTTCCCAACCCCCAGCGTTTTGTGCTAGCAAACCAGGGTACAAAAACTGCTTTTGTATGTATATCTTTGTGCGCAGGTGGGTTTCCAGGAATGAAATTGCTAGGGTAAAGGGAATGCCCATTTAAACATTGGTCGATGACGCCTAATGGGTTCCAAATGACCTCACAAGTTCTCAAATGCTTCCAGCAAGTATCTGAAAGCAGTTTTCACACATCCTTGCTAATATTTGTTACTATCAATCTTTTTAATTTTTTGGCAATATAATGAGTATAAAATAATATCTCATTATTGTTTTAATTTTCATTTCCCTGGTTACTAGCGGAAGCTGTGCATTTTCTCCTATGATTATCGGCATTTCTATTTTTCTTCTGTGAATTGCCTATTTATATCATTTGTCTGATTTTATTGTGTGTTTTATTGATTTGTATATAATCTTGATATAGTTTGGCTATAAATTCTATGTGAGATAAGTGTGTTGCATATAATGTCTTCTATTTGCTGTTTGTATTTTAACTGTATTTGAGGTGCCATTTTTCAACAAAAATGTTTTAAAATTTTATGAGATTAAAAATGTTAATCCTCTATTATATGGCTTCTGGGTTATATGTCTTGTTTTAGGAAAATCTTTCCAATACCAAGATTATAATAATTACATCATAGTTTTATTCCAACTCTTTTATAGTTTTTTTTTTTACATTTAGCATTTTTATCTAACAGGAATTTATTTTTTGTATGGTACAAGTTATGTATCTAAGTTATTTTTTTCAAATGGATATGGAGTTTTCTTTAAACTGTTTATTGAATAGTTCTTTCTTTCCTAGGAATTCAAAATGCTTTTATAGCAAATAATATTTTGCTACTAATAATAAATGCACTTAGAACAGTTTCTAATTCCTTATTATATCATTACTGTAGTCATTGTAGATGAAATTGCCATATATACACAAAACTGTAGATTTGATTCCATTCCTGTGATCCGTATATCTATTTATCTCAGTCAGTTCAGGCTGCCGTCATAGAATACCATAGGCTGGGTGACTTAAACAACAGAAATTTCTTGCTCACAGTTTCGAAGACTGGGAAGCCTAAGATTAGGGTGTCTGCACAATAAGATTTTGTTGAGGAAAAGGTACTTTCTTGGTCCACAGATGGTTGTCTTCTTTCTGTGTCCTCACATGGCACAGAGCAGAGAAAGGAATCAGGCTGTTTGCTGTTTCTTCTTATAAGGGCACCAATCTTGTCATGACGGCTCTAGTCACACGACCTAATGACCTCCCAAAGTCCCCGCTCCAGATACTGTCATTCGGGAGGCCATGGTTTCAACACAGGAAGTTTTGGGGGGACATAAAAATAAACATAATCCACTCCACTATTTGTATGCCTACACCACATCATTTAAATAAATATGTGCGTAATCTTTGTTCTAACATCTATCTGGGCAAATCCTCCCTCATTTTCTATTATTTGGCATTTTCTTTTTTCTTTTTCTTTTTTTTTGAGATGGAGTCTCACTCTGTTGCCCAGGCTGGAATGCAGTGGTACCATCACTACAACCTCTGTCTCCAGGTTCAAGCGATTCTCCTGCCTCCTGCCTCTGAGACTACAGGTGTGTGCCACCACACCCGGCTAATTTTTGTATTTTTAATAGAGATGGGGTTTCCCCACGTTGGCCAGGCTGGTCTCGAACTCCTGACCTCATGTGATCCACCCACCGCAGCCTCCCAAAAGGCTGGGATTACAGGCATGAGCCACTGCACCTGACCTATCTTTTGGCATTTTCTTGAGGATAGTCATACATACATGATTCAACCTCTACTCCTCTGTTGGTTGGAAGTCATATACTCTTCTGAAGTTTTTTTTTGTTTTTTTTGTTTTTTTTTTTTTTTTTTTTTTTTTGGCAGAGTATCTCTCTGTCGCCCAGGCTGGAGTGCAGTTGCGCAATCTCACTGCCACCGCAGTGGCACCATCACTGCGAGCTCTGCCTCCCAGGTTCATACCATTCTCCTGCCATGATCTCTCTAGATAACAATATGCTTTATTGACTTATCGAAGTCTAGTATCAGTTGGTACATTTACTTTCCTCTTGAACAGGGTAAGGATCTCAGAATACTTTTATTCCATGTTCTGCTCTCTTGGCTCATGTGCTGTTGTTCTGCATTTTAATTCTATATGCATTTAAGCCTTCACAGGGAATATTATTAGTTTTTAAAATAAACTCTGTTCATTTTGGTTTATCCATATATTTACCATTTTTTTTAATTCCTTGTTGTTAATTTGCACTATTGCATCTGGGATCATTTCCTTTTATATTTTCTTTAGTTCAAATTGGTTAGTGGTGAAGCCCCTTGGTCGTTTGCTGCTCTAAAAATGTCTTTATTTCAAATTGTTCTTGAAAAGTATTTTCACTGGGTATAGAATTCTAGATTGGCAGTATTTTCTTTTAGTCCATTGGAAATACCACCCTTCTGTCTTCTGTATTCCACTGTTGCTGTTGAGAAGTCAGCTGTAGGTCTGTTTCTTCTTAGAAGTGATACCTTTCGATTTTCTCTCTGTCTTTGGTTTTATGCAGTTTCACTGTGATGTATCTGGGAATACATTTATTTTTATTTATTTTGCCAAGGAGCCATTGGGGTCTTGAATCCATGGATTAATTTATTTCACTAGTTTTGGAGATTTTAAAGCCATTTTACTTGTTTAAATATTGCTTCCAACGTATTCTCTCTACTCTCCTTCCAGGACTTCAGTTAAACCCATGTCAGTCTTTCTCAACACATCCCCTATGTCTCTTACTCTTTTTTCTGTAATTTCCATCTCTTTGTCTTTTGGCACTTCATTCTAAATATTTTACCTAACATATATTTCAGTTCATTAATTGTCTCTTCATTTGTGTCTCAAGTTCTTAATTTTAATCATTGTACTTTTAGCTTATAATATCTATTTGGTGCTTTTTTTTTTTTTTTTTTGAGATCGAGTCTTGTTCTGTTGCCCAGGCCGGAGTGCAGTGGCACAATCTTGGCTTACTGCAACCTCTGCCTCTGGAGTTCAAATGATTCTCCTGCCTCAGCCTCCCGAGTAGCTGGGACTACAGGCACCTGCACCATGCCCAACTAATTTTTTGTATTTTTAGTAGAGACAGGGTTTTACCATGTTAGTCAGGATGGTCTCGATCTCCTGACCTCGTGATCCGCCTGTCTCAGCCTCCTAAAATGTTAGGATTACGGGCGTGAGCCACCGCACCCTGCCTATTTGGTGCTTTTTCAAATCTGCTTTGACATATTTTACGTTGCTAGTTCTTTTTCATTTGGTTCTGCCAGGTGCTAGCAATCTCAGATCACCTTAATCCCATTTCAGGTTTGAAATATTCTAGAACACCTGGTAACTTGAGACTGAGAGGCAGCCTGTGTAATGGTTAGTTTACTTCTGGTTCCTCCTTAGGCTTAGAACTTTGGCATCTCAGCTCTTAGTGTGAGTGTGTCATTAAGGTTCCTACCCCTGTCCCTCTTGTCTTGTGAATATTTCAAAATGGGTCTTAGCTTATAAATTACTTCTTTTGGATTTGTAATTGCTTGGGGAACAAAGGTGGCCTTCAATGGCAGGCTCACCTCTTTCAATTTCTATCTTATTTTAGATCTTGGTGTGATAATTTCTCACTATCTTGTTAGCTCTTGGATGCATTTAGGAAGGTATTTATTTATTTATTTTTAATTTTAAAAATTCCAATAGCTTTAAGAGTACAAATGGTTTTTGGTTACATGGATGAATCATATCGTGGTGAAGCCTAGGATTTTAGTGCGTCCATCACCTGAGTAGTGTACATTTCACCCAATAGGTAGTTTTTCATCCCTCACCCCACTCCCACCCTCCTCCTTTCTGAGTCTTCAGTGTTCATTACAACACTCTGTATGCCTTTGAGTACCTATTGTTTAGCTCTCACTTGGTCTTTGATTCCTGAGTTACTTCATTTAGAATAATGACCTCCAGGCCAGGTGCGGTGGCTCACGCCTGTGATCCCAGCACTTTGGGAGGCCAAGGCAGGCGGATCACAAAGTCAGGAGATGGAGACCATCCTGGCTAACACGGTGAAACCCCGTCTCTACTAAAAGTACAAAAAAAAAAAAAAACCCAAAAATTAGCTGGGCGTGGTGGTGGGCACCTGTAGTCCCAGCTACTCGGGAGGCTGAGGCAGGAGAATGGCGTGAACCCAGGAGGCGGAGCTTGCAGTGAGCCAAGATGGCGCCACTGCACTCCAGCCTGGGCAACAGAGTGAAACTCCGTCTCAAAAAAAAAAAAAAAAAAAAAAAATGACCTCCAGTTTCATCCAAGTTGCTGCAAAAGACATTATTTTGTTGTTTTCTTTAAATGTCTGAGTAGTATTACACACACACACACACACACACACGTATATATATAAACATTATCTGCTCATCAGTTGATGGGCACTTAGGTTGATTCCATATCTTTGCAATTATGAATTCTGCTGCTATAAATACAAGCATGCAAGTGTCTTTTTGATATAGTGATTTCTTTTTCTTTGGGTAGATATCCAGTAGTGGGATTGCTAGATCGAGGTGTGGATCTACCTTTAGTTCCAAAAAGTTGCTTTTAAATATTGTGTCCATCTTTGTTTGTCTCTGAGGTGCGCGTGTAGGTCGGTTTAAAGCAAAATGGTTTGCCATTATTTGAAGTGGAAGTCCTACATTTTCTTTTTCATTTAAATTTTGGAATTAGCGTTGTCAAGTTTAACAATCTCTCTTTGGAATTTCGAATGTGATTACTTTGTATTTATAGATACATTTGGAGGAGAAAAGACATTTTTACAGTATTGAGTCTTTCCATTCAAGCTTATTTAAAATTTATCTTATGCCTTAGTAAAGTTTTATACTTTTATTAATCGATAAATTGTCCACTCATTTATAAATTTATTTCTGAGTATTTTTATAAATTTCATTGTTAATGAGAATGAGATCCTCTATTCCATGAGCTGGCAATCTTTGTTTGTGAAGGGCCAGATAGTAAATATTTTAAGCTTTGTGGACCATATGATCTCTCTTTCAAATAACCAACTGTACCATTGCAGTCTCAAAGCAGCCCCAGACAATATATGAACAAATTGGTATAGCTATACTGAAATAAAACTTTATTTACAAAAACAGGTTGTGGAACGGGCTTGGCCGCATGGGCCATAATGTGCCAAGTCCTACTCTATCCTATTACGTTTTTCCAACTGTGAATTTGTGTTTTAAAGCTATTGATTTAAAAACTTTAATCTTTTTTTTTTCCTGAAATTTTCTTTTTTTTAAAATTTATTTTATTATTATTATACTTTAAGTTTTAGGGTACATGTGCACAATGTGCAGGTTAGTTACATATGTATACATGTGCCATGCTGGTGTGCTGCACCCATTAACTCGTCATTTAACATTAGGTATATCTCCTAATGCTATCCCTCCCCCCTCCCCCACCCCACAACAGTCCCCAGAGTGTGATGTTCCCCTTCCTGTGTCCATGTGTTCTCATTGTTCAATTCCCACCTATGAGTGAGAACATGTGGTGTTTGGTTTTTTGTCCTTGCGATAGTTTACTGAGAATGATGATTTCCAATTTCATCCATGTCCCTACAAAGGACATGAACTCATCATTTTTTATGGCTGCATAGTATTCCATGGTGTATATGTGCCACATTTTCTTAATCCAGTCTATCATTGTTGGACATTTGGGTTGGTTCCAAGTCTGCTATTGTAAATAGTGCCGCAATAAACATATGTGTGCATGTGTCTTTATAGCAGCATGATTTATAGTCCTTTGGGTATATACCCAGTAATGGGATGGCTGGGTCAAATGGTATTTCTAGTTCTAGATCCCTGAGGAATCGCCACACTGGCTTCCACAATGGTTGAACTAGTTTACAGTCCCACCAACAGTGTAAAAGTGTTCCTATTTCTCCACATCCTCTCCAGCACCTGTTGTTTCCTGACTTTTTAATGATTGCCATTCTAACTGGTGTGAGATGGTATCTCATTGTGGTTTTGATTTGCATTTCTCTGATGGCCAGTGATGATGAGCATTTTTTCATGTGTTTTTTGGCTGCTAAATGTCTTCTTTTGAGAAGTGTCTGTTCATGTCCTTTGCCCACTTTTTGATGGGGTTGTTTGCTTTTTTCTTGTAAATTTGTTTGAGTTCATTGTAGATTCTGGATATTAGCCCTTTGTCAGATGAGTAGGTTGCAAAAATTTTCTCCCATTTTTGTGGGTTGCCTGTTCACTCTGATGGTAGTTTCTTTTGCTGTGCAGAAGCTCTTTAGTTTAATTAGATCCCATTTGTCAATTTTGTCTTTTGTTGCCATTGCTTTTGGTGTTTTAGACATGAAGTCCTTGCCCATGCTTATGTCCTGAATGGTAATGCCTAGGTTTTCTTCTAGGGTTTTTATGGTTTTAGGTCTAATGTTTAAGTCTTTAATCCATCTTGAATTAATTTTTGTATAAGGTGTAAGGAAGGGATCCAGTTTCAGCTTTCTACATATGGCTAGCCAGTTTTCCCAGCACCATTAGAGTCCAGGACCAGATGGATTCACAGCCGAATTCTACCAGAGGTACAAGGAGGAACTGGTACCATTCCTTCTGAAACTATTCCAATCAATAGAAAAAGAGGGAATCCTCCCTAACTCATTTTATGAGGCCAGCATCATCCTGATACCAAAGCCGGGCAGAGACACAACCAAAAAAGAGAATTTTAGACCAATATCCTTGATGAACATTGATGCAAAAATCCTCGATAAAATACCGGCAAACCGAATCCAGCAGCACATCAAAAAGCTTATCCACCATGATCAAGTGGGCTTCATCCCTGGGATGCAAGGCTTGTTCAATATACACAAATTAATAAATGTAATCCAGCATATAAACAGAACCAAAGACAAAAACCACATGATTAACTCAATAGATGCAGAAAAGGCCTTTGACAAAATTCAACAACGCTTCATGCTAAAAACTCTCAATAAATTAGGTATATTAATGGGACATATCTCAAAATAATAAGAGCTATCTATGACAAACCCACAGCCAATATCATACTGAATGGGCAAAAACTGCAAGCATTCCCTTTGAAAACTGGCACAAGACAGGGATGCCCTCTCTCACCACTCCTATTCAACATAGTGTTGGAAGTCCTGGCCAGGACAATTAGGCAGGAGAAGGAAATAAAGGGTATTCAATTAGGAAAAGAGGAAATCAAATTGTCCCTGTTTGCAGATGACATGATTGTATATCTAGAAAACCCCATTGTCTCAGCCCAAAATCTCCTTAAGCTGATAAGCAACTTCAGCAAAGTCTCAGGATACAAAATCAATGTACAAAAATCACAAGCATTCTTATACACCAATAACAGACAAACAGGGAGCCAAATCATGAGTGAACTCCCATTCACAATTGCTTCAAAGAGAATAAAATACCTAGGAATCCAACTTACAAGGGACGTGAAGGACCTCTTCAAGGAGAACTACAAACCACTGCTCAAGGAAATAAAAGAGGATACAAAGAAATGGAAGAACATTCCATGCTCATGGGTAGGAAGAATCAATATCGTGAAAATGGCCATACTGCCCAAGGTAATTTATAGATTCAATGCCATCCCCATCAAGCTACCAATGACTTTCTTCACAGAATTGGAAAAAACTACTTTAAAGTTCATATGGAACCAAAAAAGAGCCCGCATCGCCAAATCAATCCTAAGCCAAAAGAACAAAGCTGGAGGCACCACGCTACCTGACTTCAAACTATACTACAAGGCTACAGTAACCAAAACAGCATGGTACTGGTACCAAAACAGAGATATAGATCAATGGAACAGAACAGAGCCCTCAGAAATAACGCTGCATATCTACAACTATCAGATCTTTGACAAACCTGAGAAAAACAAGCAATGGGGAAAGGATTCCCTATTTAATAAATGGTGGTGGGACAAACTTTAATCTTAAAGTTAGCAAATTTAATAAACTCTGATTAGTTCTACTGCTTTTTCATCTGATTCTCCTGGATTTTCCAGAGAGGTGAGTATATGGTCTGTAATGCTGACAAATCTTCCTCTTTTTACCTGATAATTACACATTCTATTTAATTTTTGTGTCTTGTTGCATTGACTAGAACCTCCAGTACAATGCTGTGTAATTAGAGTGATAACAATCATCTTAATATTTTATATTTTCTGTTATGAAAATATTTCAGATGTTTTTACCATTATCTGTGATGTCTGCTGTGAGTGATTGACAGATTAGCTTTGTAAGATTAAAAAAGTTTTCTTCTATTTCTAGCCTACTGGGGGCTTAAGAATGTTGAATTTGATCAAATACTTTTCCACCATCAATTGAGATAATCTCATGTTTTTATTCATTTACTTTATTAATGTGATGATTTACAACGACTAATTTCCTGACATTCAATTGCTCATATATTTCTGGGGAAAATTTTTTCTTTGTGATAATGTATTAGTAGTTTAGTACATTGCTGCATTTGATATGCAAATATATTATTTAACATTTTCACATTCAAGAGCTTGAATGAGATTGGCTTTCAGGATATTTTTTGGTGTTACACTTACTCAGTTTTGGTATCATGGTTATGGATAACTTACAGAATGAATTGAGATAAATTCTATGGAAACTTCATCTGAAATATTTCATATAATTAGGTATTTTCTGTTTATTCAGGATTCGGTATAACTGGTCCCCAAATCTTCATAATGTTGTGCCTATTTGGAGTGTAATTATTGATCATTATTTCAATTTCTTCCAAAATTAATTCATTCAGAATTTCTGTCCGTACTTGAGTACATCGAGGTAATTTTCCAAGAAAATAATTTATTTTTATCTAACTTTAAAAATCTATTTGATAAAATTATCAATTTTTTCCTATACTAAAAAAATCTTTTCCATATCTATAATTTAGGCATGTTTCTGATTCTGAATGTTATTTATTTTGCTGTTTCTCTTATTTCTTCACTGTAATTACTGGAGATCTGTACATTTTATTGGTATTTTTAAAAAGCTTTCATTTTACTGATCAAGTCTACTCTTTGTTCTATTTGGTTTTTGCTTTCATATACTATGCTATTACTACCTATGTCCAGAGGGAAAATATTTTCATATATTATTAGTGAGATTTTGATGGTTAACATTTTAATTTTTCAGGTATTTGATTAATTTGAAAGAGATACTTTATTCCTCTTTGAAAGCCTGTTCTGAGTGCTACTGAACTCTTAGTTCATCTGTGCATTGAGCGTGATTCCTCTCTGACATAGCGTTGGTTTTCTGTAAGTGCTTGATGGGTTTTTATGTGTCCTCACTTCCAGGACACCTGAGCACTGTGTTTCCTGTGGCCCATCTGTGGCTATTATGAAGGAGGGGTGGGGCACACTCAGGAGTGACGGCTTGATCGGGAGCTCGTTTTCCTGAGCGTGCCATCCTTCCTCGTGGTCAGTGTGGTCCGATGGCCTCACTGGCCACGTTGGACACAGCTTCACACTCTTGGCCTCAACACTATCTGTCCAGGGGAGAGGGGCGGGGCTGAGCTGCAAGGAGTCGTGATAACACCTGTGCAATGTGTCTATCAGGGAAGCTTGTTAGAGATTCAGCTACCCTGAGTGCTGCTTCCCACTCATGCCCTCTCTGAATGACCAGAGTCTACTCTCTCTTCTATTGAAGGCCTTTGAGTTTGGAATTCCCTGGAATGACTTCTCCCTTCAATGGGGTCTTCTCCTTCAGCAGTTTCCTGTGGTTTTGTTTCATTTCAGATAAAATCCAGTTTATATTTCTCAAAAACGTTCACCATTTCTGAAATACAAGTATCACTTTTTATTGTTTTCCTGGCCTATTATATATTTTTAAAGTCATTTTATTTTGTTTCATAGAATTATAAATAGCCATGCTCACTACTACACATGCAATTGCACTTTTAAATGGGTCCGTGTTTTATTAACCTCAAACACTTATCCACATTTGAAAGATAGTTGTATATCTCTACAAGAGATGAGAGTTACACAAATATAAACTACATAAGAGTTTTTCTGTACCGAGAGTATTTAGTACTCCTGTGAATTCAAGGCTCTGCAGTGATCTACTGCAGTATACAGGAGGAGAATAATGAGCTAAACCTCCAGACCAAATAGGGTGGCCACAGATTAGTACAGTAAGGCAAGTAAAAAGGAAAATGAATATAATCTATTTGTCCCTGTAATTTCCTTTTCTTTTTTCTGAGACAGAGTCTTGTTCCATCACCCAGGCTGGAGTGCAATGGCGCCATCTTGGCTCACTGCAACCTCCATCTCCCGGGTTCTAGCGATTCTCCTGCCTCAGCCTCCCTAGTAGCTGGGGTTACAGGCGCCCGCCACCATGCCTGGCTAATTTTTGTATTTTTAGTAGAGACAGGGTTTCATCATGTTGACCAGGCTGGTCTCGAACTCCTGACCTCAGGTGATCCATCTGTCTTGGCCTCCCAAAGTGCTGGGATTACAAACATGAGCCACCATGCCCAGCCTGTCACTCTAATTTTCTCTTTTGAGATTTATCAATTTGAAAAATATTTTTTTAATGTTAATGTGGCTTATATAAATTTCTGTATATGTGGGGGTGAAAGTGATGATGTATATAAATTAGGATAAGGAAAAATATGTTTGCTGAATACGGGTTTGATGGCTTTCAGTCTGTTTGCTAGTGATTGTTAAACACGATACGTGTGTTGGAGGTCCCCGAGATCCTCCCCATGGTGGATTTGCTAGGGAGACTCGCAGGACTCAACATGTAGTTGTTGTCACAGCTGTGGTTCATTACAGCAAAAGGATACAAAGAAAAATGAGCCCAGGGAAAAGGCATGTGAGGTAAAGTCTGGAGAAAGCCAGGTGCAAGTTTTCCAAAGTTGTCTCTAGTGAAGCCACACAGGACACACGTAAGTCCTCCAGCAATGAGTTGTGATAACACCTTTGAAATGTGTCTATCAGTGAAGCTCATTAGAGATTCATTACCAAGGGTTTTTATTGGGAGCAGGTCACTAGGTACTCTGTGTCTAGCATGGACCAAATTTGGTTCTGGCTTTCCAGAAGAAAAGCAGGTGTCAGCATAAACCATATTGTGCATGCAAATGGTTTAAGCACAGGGAGCCATTCTTACCCTTTAGGCAAAATTTTGCATCAGGATAAAGAACTGTCTACCATTCAAGTTCCCAGATGCCAGCCAAGGACCGGCTTTGTAAGCAGCCCTTTCTAAGGACAGCAGTCCTGGCCCTACTATGTGAACTCTTTTCTGCACCATCCCTAACCTTTGCTTTTGAGTAGAGTGATGGAGCAAATAACACGTTACTGACTAAATCTGCAACACAGCTTTTTTCCCCTTCTTTTTTCCTACTCAAAAGCCAGGAGCACGTGGGGCTGCTTCAACTTTCTTACAAAATTGGTGTGTGAGAGTTCTTATTGATTGCCATAATCTGACCAATCCATTCAATGACTGATTACTTCTTTCATGAAATACTTGCGGCGTGTCTACTATATACTAGATGCTGATATGGAGACGGATGGAGGGGTGCATTTGTTTAATAGTCAAATGCTTGCACCTGACCCATAAATGTAGGCCTTCCTTCAAGGCCTTCCTTATGTAGGCCTACATAAATGTAGACCTCATCCTTGGTCAACTTTTTCCTGCCATTTTTCTTCTTCTTCTTCTTCTTTTTTTTTTTTTTTTTTTTTTTTTTTTTGAGATGGAGTCTCGCCCTGTCGCCCAGGCTCGAGTGCAGTGGTGCAATCTCTGCTCCCTGCAAGCTCCGCCTCCCAGGTTCACGCCATTCTCCTGCCTCGGCCTCCCGAGTAGCTGGGACTACAGGCGCCCGCCACCAAGCCCGGCTAATTTTTTATATTTTTAGTAGAGATGGGATTTCACTGTGTTAGCCAGGATGGTCTCAATCTCCTGACCTCGTGATCTGCCCGCCTCGGCCTCCCAAAGTGCTGGGATTGCAGGCGAGAGCCATCGCCCCCAGCCCCTGCCATTCTTCTTACAATTCCGATGACTTCAATTTCTCCCTATAAACTTATGCTTCTTGAAACTATATCTCTAGCCTAAATCCCTCTCCCATTTTCCTAAGACCCCCATATCTGACTGTGGACTATCTCCTTAGGGCTCCTCCACAGCTGTCTCAAATTCAGTTTATTCAAGACTGAACTTGGCATTTTCCCCCAAGTCTGTTCCTCCTCTTTATGTTTCATATTCTGGTTAATGGTATCTCCATTTATCCCACTAATAAAATTACCTGGAAGTGATTGTTGACTCTTTCCTCTCCTCCCATCCCTAAAGCCTTGGTCACTTAGCAGTTAACTATTGCTGGGTAACACACCACCCCAGAAGTCAATGGCTTAAAACAATTGTTGTTATCACTGGCGGCTGAGTGAGCTGTGCCGGGCTTAGCTGGCGTGTCTCTCCTCTTCTTCCCAGGTCCATAAAAACACACCAAACCTCTCAAGGCACCAGCTTGGAACGGCATAGTGTTACCTCTGCCTTACTCTATTACCCAAGTAAGTCACAGGGCTGAACCCATACTCTGCCCGTTCAGTGGGAGGAGCTTCAAAGTCAAAAGGGAAAGGGTATGGATAGGAGAAGAGGTGAAGAATTGGAACCAATAGTGCAATTGCCCATGTTCACAAAGCCCTGGAGCAGTTCCCTCTTAAGTACCACCTCTTGCCTTCCATCGCCTTTGCTATGGCCCTCGTTCAGACCTTCTCAGTGCTCTCCTGGCCTACTGCAACATCCCTCTCTTGGATGTTCTTGCTTTTAGACTCTCCATAGGGCATCAGGTCTAGCTAGATGCAAATCTGAACTGAAGTGAAGAGTCCTCTAGGGCTCCCTGTACCCTCGGAGAAAGTCTGAGTTCATGCATGGCTTTCCATGATGCAGACCCTTCCTGGTGCCTGAAGCTTAGTTTCCGCTACTCTCCTTTTTCATCTTTTTATTCTGCCTTGCTAAGTTCTCTGGAGTTCCCACACACACTACGCAGTTTCACACCATCATGCTTTTGCACAGGTTACCTCGTGGGCCTGGAAAGTCCTTTCCCTCTTGCCTGCCCAGGGAGGCCCTCCACACCCTTCATTACTCTGTGGCATATTTTTCCCTGAAGTTTTCCAGAACTCTCCCCAGCCAAGGTGACTGTGCCTCCCTTAGTGTCCCCACCACCCTGGAACCCTGTGGGTTATACATGTATATAACATCTAATCATGTGGCCATGACGTTCTCTAGGCCTCATGTGTTGTATGCACCATTGTATGGCACAAAATTGGCTAATATCAAGCTACAACAGCAAAGCTGAGGTAGATGTGTCCAAGGCCATATGGCCTGCAAAGCCTGAAATATTTACTACCTGACCCTTTACAGAAAAAGTTGATTCAGAGGTTTGCACTTGGACCAGAAAGGCGACTTCCTAGGGTGAGTTGGTGGCTAACAACTCAGTGGGGCTTGGGCTGGATTTCCCCAACATGCTCATCAGGAAGGCAAAACCGGAAGTGCTGATAGCACTCAGGGCAGTGTTCCCGTACTCCTGGCCATTCTGTGTTGATTGGCATGACAAGTGTGGAAGTGTAGGGGCTCTTTTGTGATCTTGGGACAGGCTGGGAGCTTCTGTTCTCATTGTGCATTTCTGCTCTGTGGGCTTGGTGCTGCTGGTGGGGACAACCCAGGTCTGGCCTCCACAGGGACAATCACAGGGCATGCAGGTCTAAAGTCAAGGCCCCTTCAGAGGACTCTCCCTGTGGTCTGTAGACCTTCTTGCTAATTTTAGCAAGAATTCAATATATTTTTCACCAAATGATGGATGAATAGAGGGATGGTTGGTTGATTTCAGGTTCACAGGAAGAGGGTATTAAAGACTGCCTTTATACCTTGTGGGTGACATTAAATTGGAGCAATCATAAAATGAAACAGGGTTATATTTCTTCTAGTATTAATATACAGTAATTCTAATTGGACTCCTATGGTAATTCTTACTGGACTTATTTTTCACTTTGAGACTCAATTAATTTAGCAATTTTAATTGGGTGTGTGGAAATTCTTATAGGCCAATGCAGATATTGTTGTACATGTAAAACTTTTAGAGGTTAATCTAAATATTAGATCTTATTCTCTGGGGAGAGTTTGGGAGCAGCCACCATGGAACTGAATGCTACTAACAATTTAGAGCAGGGGTCAGCAAAATATGGTGGACCGGCCAAATTTAGCTTGCAGCTAATTTTGTAAATAAAGGTTTCCAGGAACACAGCCACACTTATTCATTTATATATTGTCTATGGCTAATTTCAAGCTACAACAGCAAAGCTGAGTAGATGTGTCCAAGGCCATATGGCTTGCAGAGCCTGAAATATTTACTATCTGACCCTTTACAGAAAAGGTTGATTTAGAGGCTTACACTTCAGGGCTTCCTAGGGTGAGTTGATGGCTAACAGCTCTGTAAATGTCCTGTGACCCCTCTTTTTATTTCATTTGGAAAAGATGCTGGGATTTCGCCAATGCTTAGAATTATATTTAATACATATGAGATTCCTGGGAGATACTTTGACAGGCATTATAAAGCATCTACTATGTGCTAAGTGCTAGAGATGCAAAGACCATCGGGCTTGCAAAGTCTAACCTTTTGCTGAGATGTTTTGGGCCCAACACTGCTGTCCAGCCATGGGGCTGTCTGTGAACCTGAGAATCATTATTCTGGGAGGGGTGAGATTTCCAATTGAGGCTTTTATTGACCTTTATGATCTGAGACTCAGAACCAAGCGATATTGGGAAGGACACACAGGCTTATGGAAGTTGTCCAACTTGAACAGTTTGGGTGAGATTTATCTGCAGGAGTGGCAGGCTTATTTCCCCTGACAATTTTTTTATGTTTCATTGGTCTTATTTCACTGCTTGGGAAAGATTTTCCCCTAATATTTTTTTGTTTATTTTTTTATCTGGTGATAATGTTTTTGAAAATACTAAGTGGTAGAAAAGACCACTCGGACACAGGGGATTTGAGCAAACCTAGGGCTTGGAAGAGACCTTTTGTCCTGATGAGTCCCCAGCACCATCATTAGAGCCAATGGCAGAGCTGCCCTGGGGTTCCTGGACCTCCTCCTGGCCAGTGAACTGGAGTCTTGCATCCCGTGACCATGAGAGACGCATTCTTTCCGAGTGTTCTTGGATCTTGGCATCCTTATTAGGGGAATCAGAGTTGAGGGCGATGGAGTGTCCCAAGATCTGGGAGAGAAGAGGCTGCCCCAGGAGGTGCCAATGCTGCTACTGAAGCCTGGGTTTTCAGTGGAGGATATTTGAGCAACTCAGTGACTGGAAAAGGGGTTAAGCTGCAACCAAGTGGGAGGCGGAAGGGCAGTGGGGCCAGGGCTGCAAAACTGGAAAGAAGAGCAAGCAGTGGGGCTTTGGCTGGATTTCCCCAACACACTCATCAGTAAGGCAAAACCAGAAGTGCTGATAGCACTCAGGGCAATGTTCCCCTCCTCCTGGCCATTCTGCGTTGATTGGCATGACAAGTGCGGAAGTGTGGGGGCTCTTTTGTCATCTTGGGACAGGCTGGAAGCTTCCATTCCCAGTGTGCATTTCTGCTCTGCGGGCTTGGTACTGCTGGTGGGAACAGCCCAGTTCTGGCCTCCCCAGGGACAATCACAGGGCGTGCAAACCTAAAGTCAAGGCCCCTTCAGAGGACTCTCCCTGTGGCCTGTAGACCTTGTAGGTTTCAATTATGCATTTGGTTTATTTCTGACTTGCTTCAACCCCTTTAGATCCTAATAGTGGCCATGGAAAATGACGGCTGTACAGTATATATATAATTTGAGATGGAGTCTCACTCTGTTGCCCAGGCTGGAGTGCAATGGCATGATCTCAGTTCACTACAACCTCTGTCTCCCGGGTTTAAGCGATTCTCGTGCCTCTTTTGAGCCTCTTTTGAGCCTCTCCTTTGAGCCTCTTTTTCTTTAGCTGTAAATGAGGGATAACAATTGCCTCTACTTTCCACAATTGCTATGAGGATTGAATAAAAGATGCATGGTAAGTCATTGGCCTAGAGTATAGAGTAATTATATTTTCCTACAGGTTTCCATTTTTCCTATTATTATTATTATTACCCCCACATGATTTTTTTTTTTTTTCGGGACAGAGTCTCGCTCTGTCTCCCAGGCTGGAGTGCAGTGGCGTGATCTTGGCTCACTGCAACTTCTACCTCCCTGGTTCAAGCAATTCCCCTGCCTCAGCCTTCCGAGTAGCTGGGATTACAGGTGCATGCCACTATGTCCGGCTAATTTTTTTGTATTTTTAGTAGAGATGGGGTTTCACCACGTTGGCCAGACTGGTCTCGAACTCCTGATCTCAGGCAATCTGTCTGCCTCGGCCTCCCAAAGTGCTGGGATTACAGGCATGAGCCACAGTGCCTGGCCACCCCTGCATGATATTAACAAGGCTGAGGCTGAGGCTGGTTGGAAAGACCTTGATGCGTTGAGTCGGGGCCTGAAGTCATCACTGGGAGGTGAGGGTCTTATAACCCTATGGTGGAGATGGACATGGGTTATGCTTAGGCAGCTGGGGAAGGAGTGAGCCAAGGAGAGAGAAATATAACATCCATGCATTTCCATCTGAGGAGTCTAAATTCCTTCTTTGTCCTTTTAATCTGGATTTTTTAGACCTATTAACTGTAAGAATGACTGTGTTGATTAAGCTCTCCTAATACATTTTTGAATTCATCACCAAAGCAGTAGGAGTCTGTCCTACATGTCTCCTCACCTCCCCACCCCACAAAACACCCCAGCCTACAACACAGAAGTTGCCCTTTGTTTTTGCTGACCCCAATCACTGTCATAGCACTGGGTTGAGGGCCAGCCCAGCATTTCTGAGGATCATATCTTTGGTAGCCAATCCCTTGTCCCTCTGGACCTTCCTCTTCTTCCAGTATCTCAAGGTCTTGTTGAAATCTTGAGAACACTGTTGACCTCCCTTCCAATGGTATGACCTAATTCATTTGCAAAGGGCTTATCTTCCAAAGGGAGAGAGGTCCATGATAGAAACTCAGCAATGTGATTATTGCATAATGTACTTGTTAAATTCAATGAACAGTAAAAAGTTCCTTGGCATAGCTTAAGCAAAAGACAGGGCTTGATTGGCTGGATGTGTCACAGAACCCAAGGGCTGAACGGCAGTGGACCTTTAAGGCCTGGTACTCAGCAGGAAAGCCATCAGGATACAAGGCTGCCATCTGCCTCATTGCCTGATGGCCTCTTATTTCTATTTTTTTTTTTCTGTATGTGAGCACCTTTTCATTCTTTTTTTTTTCTTAATTTTTTTTTGAGACGGAATCTCGCTCTGTTGCCAGGCTAGAATGCAGTGGCGCAATCTTGGCTCACCGCAACATCTGACTCCCTGGTTCAAGCTATTCTGCTGCCTCAGCCTCCCGAGTACCTGGGATAACAGGCACACGCCACCATGCCCAGCTAAATTTTGTATTTCACCATGTATTAATTTTTGGGTTTCACCATGCTGGCCAGGCTGGTCTCAGTCTCCTGATCTCGTGATCTGCCTGCCTCGGCCTCCCAAAGTGCTGGAACTTTTCATTCTTCTATCTTCAGCCTGATCTTTTCTATTCTGCTTACGGATGGCTCAGATGTGGTTACCTGGGCCCTGGCTTTCCATGACCTCCCAATTCATAATTCTTCAGAGACCGATTACAGTGTATATTAATTTAAAACTTGTAGGAGGAAGACTCTGGATAGCCCAGCCAAGCCAATGGATTGGCTCCCCCTGTGTCAGCTGTGACTCACCAGTCACCAGGTGCCAGGGGATGCAGCGTGCTCCTATATTTCCTGAACATCTTCATGCAAATAGGTTCTGGATAACACACCCCCTTGAAAGAGACTTTCCCCATGTTGGAATGGCATTCTGCACCCTTATGTACAGACATAACCTCCTGCAGGCCGAGCAGCAGTGGCCTGTTTGGAGCAATTTTGTACCGTCGGCAGCATGACTCCTCAGTGGTCTGTGGATCTCCAGGTCAGAGCCGTCTGCCTGCAGGTTACATACAGGCTGAAATTTCACCAGCAGCAGCTAAAGTCAGGTCACAGCCCAGTCATTATAAATGCCAAATGTGTTTGGTCAAAAGATGACCTTTGTTATAAACTACAGGTCCCAAGAACATTGCCAGCTGGGAAGTACAAGATTCTTTTAAATCAAAGAATTGAGAGAAAATGCATAACTGTGCAAAATCACCAGCAAGGGTGCCTGGAAGCTACTGCTTCTTCTAGTCAAATGGAAATCTTTCAATGATGCCAGGTGGTGCTGTTAAGAAGCAGAATTCTTCCCCTAAGCCCACATGTTCATCAGGTTCCTTAAACCAACAGCTTGAGAAATTTAGATTTCCTTCAGCATTCTTTCAAACTCTGGGCCCAGTGATTTCTTCTGTAATTTTAGAAAAGCTTATTATGCCATTTCTTTGGGGGGCCTGGGAGAATCAACCCTTTCAGGTTTCAGTTTTCTCAGGGTGGAAATGGGAAGCTGAACAAGATGATCCCTATGGCCCCCTCAGTCCAGATTTTCTGTCATTCTGTGGCAAGAGTCCAGGCTTGGGTGAAGCAGGACTGACATGATAAACTTTGCATGGCTTAAAATATGAGGGCTCCCAAGCTCCTGGGTCTGTGCTCCTCTTTCATCTGTTTCATGGTCATGCCGTTTGGCTGGTCTTTCTTTCTTTTGTTTCTCTTTTCTTTCTCTCTTTCTTTCTTTCTTTCTTTCTTTCTTTCTTTCTTTCTTTCTTTCTTTCTTTTTCTTTCTTTCTTTCTTTCTTTCTGTCTTTCTTTCTGTCTTTCTTTCTTTCTTCTCTCTCTCTCTTTCCTTTCTCTCTCCCCTGCTCTCCCTCTCTCCCCCTTCCCCCTTCCTTCCTTCCCTCCTTCCTCCCTCCCTCCCTCCCTTCCTCCTTCCTTTTTCCTTTTTCCCTTCCCTTCCCTTCCAAGACAGAACTCACTCTGTTGCCCAGGCTGGAGTGCAATGGCACGACCATAGCTCACTATAGCCTCAACCTCCCAGGCTCAAGCAATCCTCCTACCTTAGGCTCCTGAGTAACTGGGACCACAGGCATGCACCAGCACGGCTGGCTAATTTTTATTTTTTTTAATGTTTTGTAGAGACAGGGTCTTGCTATGTTGCCCAGGCTGGTCTCAAATTCCTGGGCTCAAGCAATCCTCCCACCTCAGTCTCCCAAAGTGCTGGGATTACAGGTGTGAGCCACTGTACCTGGCCACCCTTTGGCTTTTCAAACCATCCTTGAGCAAGCCTTGAGGCCTCTGTTGGAGAGTCTTCTTTGTACTAGTCCATCAACATCTTTTGTTCATTTGGATTCTCTGCGTTGAAGTTAGACTTGATAGTTGATTAGGACAGAAGCTAACCAGGGAGGGCTGAGAGAAGAGGTGTTCGAGAGAGAAAAAGTCCTCTCGCTGCTGCTGCTCCTGCCCCTGTTGCGGCAGGAACACTTCCGTCTTGTCAGTGTCTTGGAGGACCAAACATATTTTGACATATCCTAAGACATCTAGAATGATCCAAAAATTATCAGAAGGCTTGGAAATAAAAGTAGGATTCTATGACTAAAAGGGTCCTTAGAGTAAGTTAGTTTAATGTCCTCATCCAGCCAGGGATTTCTGCTCCATCGTCACCAAGAGGTAGTCAATGAACCTTTCTTTGTATAGCCCAAGTGATGGGGAGCTCACTACCCCCTGAAAAAGCTCATTCAATTTCTGAACATCTCCAATCGTATCAGTTTGTTCCACCTGCCCAGCTCTGATGGGTCCCCCTTAGGAGCTACTCACCTGAAGATGAATCTTGGGTCGCCAGTTTAATCCTGCAGATATTTGTAAATTGTGAGCTCGTTCATTGGAATCTTCCCCTTTCCAGGCTAGGCAGCCTGAGAACCAGCAATTGCTTTTCTAAGCATTCCAATTCCCGCCTCATTTTGGAGGGCACTTTAGAACTCTGTTCTTCAGGTGTGACCTGACTCACACAAAATAAGCAGTTGTGAGCTTCTCCCCAATTCTCTAATGCCTTTGGAAAAGCTGTTTGCTCACAGGTATTTGCCAAGGAGGCAGAGGGTGTGTTTCAGCTTCTTGGGTTCTGTGTAGGGGCATTTAGATCAAGTAGTATGTCAAGAACAGATTGGCCTGGCTCTGAACGTCTGGGAAAATCCTAATGCCCCGTTTGCTGTCAGCTCTTTCCAGGCCTTTCTTATAGAATGTAAAAGCAAAAATAGTTCTCATAGATAATCTGCCTTAGCCTCTCTTCCCATTTTACAGGTGGGGAAGACTGAGTCCCAGAGGGAGGAATTGGATGTCACTCAGTGCTAGAAAAATTGGAGCCAAGGTCTTCTGGTTCTCAAGTTCAGTGAGATCACCTTTCATCTAAAAGAGAAATGCGGATGATCCCTGAATGTCTTTGGTGCCTGGGATCCATAGGAGCTTTGGCCCCATGGAACTTGGATACCCATCTTCTTCCCGTGGTCTGTGATTTCTCCCATGCTGATCCTGTATCTGCACTCTGAGCTCGGGAGTCACTGCCTCCAGCCTTGATCTTTCTTCTCCTGCCCCCACCATCTCTGGAACTCAGCCTCTTTCCAAGTCATCAACTTATTCTCACAAAGGCAAGAATAAAAGAAAATCTGTTAATAGTCAACCAACTTTGCTAAACAAGCAACTCTTTCAGGGTGACTATTTATTGCTACTTATGATGACAGATTATCTTTCTGATTTCCCCCAGCACATGTCTCCAGAGGAAATTAGATACAGTATTTTCCTTAAGCGGGGCCAGGAGAGAAAATGTTTCTATAAATACTTAACAACTTGTCAGGGGAGATTACAAATATTGGCACGTCCTTCACAATGTCATGTTGGTTACTGAAACTGTTATAAGAAATCAGGATGGTTTATTTTCTTCCTGCTCCAAGGTAGCACTACATTTTCTGAGGCTGGAAGAGGTGCTCCCAAAGGACACCAGACTCAAGTCCAGGATTCTGGCCTCCCCCGCCTCTGTCGCCCCACCAGGGTCAGAGAGCTCTGGGTCCATTCGCTCCACTATTTTCCTGCAAAGGGACCTTGAGTAAACCCCTTAGCTCCTTAGCGTCTCAGTTTTCTCTTCTGAATGATAAGGATACTATGACTCATCTCAAGGTATTGCAAAGATCAAATGAGGTGTTGCATGAAAATCCCCTTATACATGGTGGGTGAGCCACACATACAGATCCTGTTGTGTCCCCCTCCTGGTCCATGAAGACCACCCTTATCAACAGATATGGACTGCACAAAGCCTCATTGTCTTCCTACTTCCCGTGTTGTTTAGGAGGAATTTGACCATAACAAGAATAATATGTGCAGTTAATAAAAACTAACACTTCTCAATCTCTTACTCTGTGGCAGGATTGTTCTAAGGCCTTCACGTGGATTAAGTCATTTAATCCTTCCAACAACCTTATGAGAGAGGTACTATGGGTTTAGTATCCCTTATCTGAAAACCTGAAATCCAAACTGCTCCAAAATCTGAAACTTTTTTCGTGTCGACATGAGGCTCAAAAGTGACGACGCTCATTAGAACATTCCAAATTTTGGATTTTTGGATGAGGAGTGCTCAACCAGTATGTATAATACACATATTGCAAAATCTGGGAAAAATCTGAAAAACACTTCTGGTCCCAAGCATTTTCAATAAGGGAAACAGTTTGTAGTAGCATCTCTCTTTTACAGAGGAGGAAACGGAGGCAAAACGACCTGCTCACAGCCACAGAGGCGGAAGTGACGGGGCTGAGATTGGTCTCAGGCTGTGATATTCACTGCACTAAATTAACAAGCTATGTGGTCCCTGAAGGAGGGCTGGTTCTAATTCCTTTCTAGTAATCTCTCTCCTTGGTACCTGTAAGGATTTCCTCTTGATCCTTTATGTTCTGGAGTTTTACCATTATGGATTTATTTTTAATTTTATTATTATTATTATTTTTTGAGACAGAGTTTCGCTCTTCTTGTCCAGGCTAGAGTGCAATGGCTCAATCTCGGCTCACCACAACCTCTGCCTCCCGGGTTCAAGTGATTCTCCTGCCTCAGCCTCCCAAGTAGCTTGGATTACAGGCATGTGTCACCACACCCAGCTAATTTTGTATTTTTAGTAGAGATGGGGTTTCTCCATGTTGGTCAGGCTGGTCTTGAATTCCCAATCTCAGGTGATCCGCCCACCTCGGCCTCCCAAAGTGCTGGGATTACAGGCGTGAGCCACCGCGTCTGGCCTGGATCTTTTATTTATCCTGCTCAGCACCTGGTAGAATTTTTAGATCCATTGTCTCACGTCTTACCTAAGTTCTGTGAAATTCCCAGCTGTTATCTCTTCAAGCACTGATTCTATATTATCTCTGTTTCTCCTGGAACATCCTAGCAGACCTGTATTGAAGCTTTTGGAGTTGATTTTCATGTCCCTCAACTTTTCTTTTGTATTTTTCAGTCTTTTAATCTTTTTTGCTATGGTCCGTTTGCTCTTTATGTCTCCCATTTTGTTCTTTGGCTATGTTCAGCCTTCTGGTCAGTGTCTCTGTTGAGTTTTACAATCTCATTAACTCTCTTTTTTCATTTCTAAGGTTTCTAATTGGTTCCCTGTCATAGCCATTTCCTTTTTATTCCATCATTTTATTTCTTGTGTCATGCTTGCAATCCCCTTCTTGACCTCTTTAAGTCGATGACAATGCTTGTCCTGTAGCTTCTCAGAATGTTCTGTTTGATCTCTTTTCCCTCACACGTGGTTTCATTCATAGAGTTTGTTGTGAGCCCTCCACGGTGGCCACTTCCTCAGCAGCTTTGTGCCCCCTCACTGTGAGTTCACCTGGTGGATCCTGAGCTGGGCTGGCCTCCAGCGGGGTGGTGCCTCAGCAGCCTCCACCTCATTTCTAGGTCCCATCCCCCTTGGCACTCAGGTCCAAAAGGTCTTGGTGCTATCTTGGGTGGACAGGAAGTGATTTCCAGTTCTTGGCCTTCTCTGGGAGGCATCCCTCTTGGCTGCAGCCTGGGGAGGGCTATGTGGTTTTAGCCTCCACATACTGCTACTGTGTTGCTTTGCATTTCATTTCTTTTAGAAGCCTTGCTTTAAAACCTGCAGAGATATCCCTTCCTTATTTTTGAATATGCATGCATTCCCCCTCAACACTAGAAAAGTTTGGAGTGGAAAGTAGAGGTGTTGTTGCTTTTTTGTTGTTGTTGTTGTTTGCTTTTTTGAGACAGAGTCTTGCTCTGTTGCCTAGGTTGGAATGCAGTGCGGCACAATCTTGACTCACTGTAACCTCCGCTTCCTGGGTTGAAGCCATTCTTCTGCCTCAGCCTCCTGAGTAGCTGGGATTACAGGCACGTGCCACCATACCCGGCTAAATTTTATATTTTTAGTAGAGACAGGGTTTTGCCATGTTGGCCAAGCTGGTCTTGAACTCCTGACCTCAGGTGATCCACCTGCCTCAGCCTCTCAAAGTGCTGGGATTACAGGCGTGAGCCACTGCGCCTGGCTGAAAGTAGGGTTTTTGCTTTGTCTTTTTCCACCATCTTGCATCAGAAACTCTTTCTCATTATTATTCTGTGTTAAAATGAAATAATCAGCGTATACAAAAGAATATATATAATATTTATTATAACTCATAATAATATATAATAATAAGACATAGACCTGTGAGTTGGCTCCTAACTTATCACCAAGACAAGACCAGTACTGTTGAGGTCACGGCATGTTCCTTCCGGATCCCATCTCTTTGCCTCCCCTCATGCCCAGGAAACAGCTCCTCTTGGGTATTTTCTGTTTATCTTTCTCTTGATTCTCCCCTCCATTATTTTTTCACCAAATTTTTCTTTTTCTTTCTGTCTTTTTTTTAAAATTGTTTAATTTTTTTTTTATTTTGAGACAGAATCTCATTCTGTTGCCCAGGCTCGAGTGCAGTAGCACAATCTTGGCTCACTGCAACCTCTGCCTCCCGGATTCAAGCAATTCTCCTGCCTCAACCTCTCTAGTAGCTGGGATTACAACAGGTGCATGCCACCACGCCTGGCTAATTGTTGTATTTTTTTTGTTTTTTAGTAGAGACAGGTTTTCGCCATGTTGGCCAGGCTGGTCTTAAACTCCCGACCTCAGGTGATCTGCCCCCCTCGGCCTCCCAAAGTGCTGGGATTACAGGCGTGAGCCACCGTGCCCGGCCTCACCAAATTTTTTTAATGCATGGAAGTGCCATAACATTGGCTCTTTATCACTGTACTATAAATTTACAAAAATAATTATGAAGCTGCAAAAATAATGAAAATACATTGTCACATGAATGGACCAACGAGTCCATGGAACAGAACACAGAAATGAACAGACTCAAGTCTGTAAGGAAATTTTCTCTATAATAAAACAGGTAATCTAAATCAAGGCATTCAAAAAAGATGTAGGGCCATTTGTTACCTATTTAGAATGAAATACATTCTAGATTCTTATCTCACGCCTTACATAAAAAGGAATCGGGAATGTCCAGAAAGACAGTGGTCGAGGCAGAGCTGGCTGTGTTTCTCTGCAGACGTGTGCTATTTCCCCCTCACTGGATCTGTGCTGCACTTGAGTTATTGTGGGGAGAATGGGATCAAGGCACAGGAGAGACCTTGGCAAGTGGGAAAATGGCTATCCACGTTCCCTGAGTCTCACCTGCTTCCAGATCCTGCTGTGTCACAGAAACCCCGCCTGCCGGCAGCCAGTGCCTGGGGAAGACCCTGGGCTTCTGAGCACCCCTTCTCTAAAGAAGCCTGTCCTGCTGGAGGTCCTAATTAAACACAGGACAAGCCAGCGTCTGCAGCAACGCCTTTGACAGGGGAGATAGCTGGTGCGTGGCAAACCCGGCCATTTATCAAACGTACACACTTGCATTGCTCAGTGGGTTTGGGGGCCACATTAATAAATCACTTTTTTATTTGAAAGCACCTCCCAACACACAGTAGAGCCACTTGAGTCATCTCTCTGTCCAGGGCTTGGCTTCCACAGGGCCCTTCCAGCCAGCCTGGTTATTTTTAGCTGTAATTAAAATCACAACATATGGTGTCATGGACCCCATTTCTGCTAACTGATGTGCAAGCAGTTTTTTTTTTAATTATTAAACTGACTGTAAAAACTTTTTAATTTGGGGGTATTTAGAGTGTTCAAGGAGAAAGCCACTCTAACATTCATGCCAGATGACAGCTAGTCAATGAGAGGAAAAAACACCCCACGCTAGCTCCGTCGATCTCTCTGCTCTAGCCGCACTAAATTACAGAATTAATAGGCTCTTAGAAAAGACTGACACACAGTTACTGTGAGAAAGACAATTAAATGTGGAAACCCACTTTTCTCACCGCATTTAATTTTAACAGGAGGCTTTGAGACTCAATAAATCTCTTTTCTATTTCTTCTCCGCTTTCCCATAAGTTCTTCAGAGAAGCACCGAGAACGTTTAAGAGGCTTCTCCCTCTTGATCATCTCTAACTACTCGTTAAGATAATGTTTCCTTCCAGAAACTTTCTTTGGAGATCAAGGAGAATTAGAAATACCAATATATTTCAGAAGCTTTTTAGATGGCCTTCCTCTTCCTGCCTTGACCTTTTTGGTCTAGGTCAGATTCATTCATTTGTTCATTCATCATTCATTTCTTTTTTTTTTGAGATGGAATCTTGCTCTGTCGCCAGGCTGGAGTGCAATGATGCGATCTTGGCTCACCGCTACCTCCGCCTCCCTGGTTCAAGAGATTCTCCTGCCTCAGCCTCCCGAGTAGCTGGGATTACAGGCATGCACCACCATACCTGGCTAATTTTGTATTTTTAGTAGAGACGGGGTTTCCCCATGTTGGTCAGGCTGGTCTCGAACTCTCGACCTCAGGTGATCCACCCGTCTCGGCCTCCCAAAGTGCTGGGATTACAGGCGTGAGCCACCGCGTCCAGCCTGTTCATTCATTTCTTTATTCCCTTGGTCAACACTCCAGCTGTATTGCTTTCTCTAGGGGCTAAGCTAAAGGGATTGGTGGGGCTGCTCTTGCTGTGGTTAAGTTCAGTCTAAAAGAGATATAAGCAGGTGATTAGGTACCTGGAGTGAGACAGAGGGAGCTGGAGGCACCCAGAGGAAGAGTCAGTTGACACACACAGGTGCCCTCCGCCCTCCCTGCGCCCACACCATCCAGCACCATGGCTTCTGCCCGCAGGTGTCCGGTGCTCACCTGGCATGAAATATGCACTTGCTAAGTGGGTCCCTAATTGACTCAACTTGTTAACCTCTTAGTCAAGTCCTACCAAGGTTATGCTTCCAACTCAAATCAGGCTGCTCTCTGTCCCACATGCTCTCGTGATTAATTGCAAAGAAAAATCCTTTCTGAAGAGAAGGGGAAGAATTTTTTTTTTTTTTTTTTTTTGGTTAAGATCCTGCTCTTCTCCCAGCCTCAGCTGTTCAGCAGTCAAGTATTTGTCATATTTGAGTCCTTTAACCACTAGTCATTTCTGACTAATACCCAGTAGGCAGACATGGGGTAAGATTTCCAAGATGATAAATGCTTCCCTTCTTATCTTTTGATATCTGGAAGTAGAAAATTTCAAGGAAAAAGGGTTTTACACCAAGACGACCATAAATCTCATTGTGTTCACAACAGAAGGCTGACCAGAGGAGTTTATTAAATCCGTAAAGGATTTGATGTATATCAAACTGTTACATAAAGTCAATACTTTGGCGAGAAATGGACAATAAATACTCAGCAAGAGGCAATATTTCTATCAGGGAGAAGGCAATCGCATAAAGATTAGGGGAGCAATTTCAATATTGCGTGTCTCTCCGCAGTGAGACAGGTCTTGTTTTCCAGAATGATCACGGGGGAAAGAGTAAAGGTGGGGCAGGCAGCCTTCTGGGCTCAGCTAATCCCACCATCAAGCTCAGACGAGGAGTTATGGACTGAACCTTTTGGTCCCCTCCCCAAATTCATACATTGAAGCTCTAACTCCCAGTGTGGCTGTTTATGGAGATGGGACCTCTAAAGAAGTAATTAAGGCTAAAGGAGATATAAGGGAGGGGTCCTGATCTGGTAGGATTAGTGTCCTTATAAGAAGAGACACTGGAGGTCAGGTGTGGTGGCTCACGTCTGTAATCCCAGCACTTTGGGAGGCTGAGGGGGGGTGGATCAAGAGGTCAGGAGATCGAGACCATTCTGGCCAACACGGTGAAACCCCATCTCTACTAAAAATACAAAAATTAGCTGGGCATGGTGGCAGGCACCTGTAGTCCCAGCTACTTGGGAGGCTGAGGCAGGAGAATGGCATGAACCCCGGAGGCAGAGCTTGCAGTGAGCCCATATCGCACCACTGCATTCCAGACTCCAGCCTGGGTGACAGAGACTCCGTCTCTTAAAAAAAAAAAAAAAAAAAAAAAGAGAGAGAGAGACTCTGATGAACTCTCCCTATCACTCACCTGCACAAAGGGGCCATGGAAGCCACAGTGATTCGGCAGTGATCTGCAAGCCAGGAAGAGAGGCCTTATTAGACACCCACTGGCCGGGCACGGTGGCCTGTAATCCCAACACTTTGGGAGGCCGAAGTGGGTCGATCACCTGAGGTCAGGAGTTCAAGACCAGCCTGGGCAACATAGTGAAAGCCCAGCTCTACTAAAAATGCAAAAATTAGCTGGGCACGGTGGCGTGTGCCTATAATCCTGGCTATTCAGAAGGCTGAGGCAGGAGAATCGCTTGAACCCTGGGAGGCAGAGGTTGCAGTGAGCCGAGATTATACTATTGCACTCCAGCCTGGGCAACAGAGCAAGACTCCGTCACAAACAAACAAACAACCACCATGCTGGCAGCCTGATCTTAGAGCTTCAGCCTCCAGAACTGTGAGTAGACCAATGCAATGGCCCGTCTCCTCTTGGGAAGGCTGATCTCACTTTGAAATTGCAAGATGGCCACCTTCCTCAGCATCTAAAGGCCACAGTGCAGACAGGAAACCCAAATCATATTGCTGTCTAAATAATCGCAGCTTCTACACTTAATCTATGTGCTTTTCAGATATCGTCTCATTTAAGTAGCAGCTTCTTGAGGGAATCCTCACATCAATCTTTAAAATAAATAGTGATGATGCCCCGATTTTCCATCTGGAAACTGCAAAGCTCAGAGATACTAACTTACTCAGGACCACACGGATGATTATTGGGAGGGTCAAGATGGAATCCAGTTTCGGTGGTTTCCAGGATGGTCAAAGGACCATTCCGCTATTCTGCATCTTGAAGTCATCCTCTTTCCAGTGAGACGGTTAAGGCTTGGAGTTATGTCTACAAAGACCAATCATCTAGAAGAGGAAGGGAAAGTTTAGTTAATGCTCTAGATAAGTTATCTATACAACACTAAGCATCTGAATAGTTTGATTCATCCACATATTCCACTGTCTGACCCAGATGTTCCCCAGCAGGGCTGAATGCTCTTTGAAAGGATAGACCATTTCTCTTCCTTTCCTTCCTCCTTTTAATGAGCACAGCCCCTTCCTTCCACCATATGTGTGGAAAATAAATGAAGGAAGTGGTGTCTGAGTGAGCACAGCGATGGTGTGAATATTGAGAGGCCACTGCGGAGAGAGTGAGCACTTGTCCTCTGGGAGTGGCCACTTCTCATCGCTTTTGTGTGTCATGCTTTGTCTTTCCAACAGATCTATGGGCAGTTGAGAGTGGGGCCGTGGCTTTGCATCCCGCGGCCCCTTCCCCTGTGCTGAAGATGCTCTGTGCGGGGTGTGCTCTTGGTGAGGGAGTCCCCTCTTCCCCGTACCCCCTCCTAGGCATGGCTCGGGGGGACCCACAATTGGAATGCAGGGTCCTTTCAGTCTTAGGAATTCTTTGGTGCTTCCAGGTCTCATTTGGGGAGCAGATATTGTTGTCAAAGTTGGGGGGCCAGGCTGAGGGCCCCACACACTCACAGCTATTTCTCCCTGGAATCTTGGTACCCCCACCCAGGTCAGTGTCAGGTAGCTGAGCCCAGGAATCCACTGTTCTAGGACCACAGACCTCTCTTCTTCCTTCACCTCTGGTGGAGCTTTCTCTCTAACTGGTGTGAGAAACCCCATAGTCCCCATTTTTCCTAAACACTCATTGCCAGCAAATCCCACCTTCTTCCTTCTTCTGTTCCATCTGTGAGTCCTCAAAGTCCTCCACTGGGCTTAGGAAAAACCCAAAACCAGAAAGGCACATAGGTCTTTCTGCTTTTTGCTGTGACATAAACCTCCCTGAAGGTTCTGTGCCCTGAGCTGGTTTCCTGCTAGAATAGGAAGGAAATTAGAAAATACAGGAAGGAAAAAAAAAATCAAAGCATGTATTCACAGGCACATGACTGCAGAATATTGTAAGGCTGATTTTTTTCCTCTGTATTTTCTAATTGTGAGTGTGAAGAGTGTGGGGAGTGTGCACATGGGTCTGTATGTGTGTGTGTGTGTATGGTCACTTCTTGTTTGTCCTTGAATTCCTCCATCTTCCTACTCCTCTGCACCAGCTCAGCCTCAGGAGCCCCAGGACCAGCCCCCTAGTCTGCTGATGGGACCAGTGAGTGGAAGCCACTAGAAGTGGAAGGGGGAAGTAGGCTCCTGCTTGGCACCTGCTCTCTGCACTGCTGTTCATGGGGGTGCCCCGACTTGATGCCATCATCTGACCTTCTGGGATACTTCCTCATGCCCCTGCCTTAATGCAATTTCTGTTTCCAGGAGCAATAATTCAAAATGACAGTGGGGACTTTCGGCTGACCGCAGGGCAGCCTCACGGCCAGAGTGGGTAGTGAGGACTCTGACTGCAAGGTGTCAGAGGTTCTAAGCCATCTGTATGGTGACAGCCACATGCCTCTCTGGAGGCCAGGATGGAGGCTGCAGCAGACCCTCCAGCCACAGGAGCTCTTAAGACACACATTCCCAGGATCCTCCAGATCTGTCAGGATGCTGGAATCAGATGAACAGTTTTCCAGGTGACTTCATAAGTCCTCTGATTTAGAGCTACTGTATGGGGGCAGTTGTCAGCCTTACCCATGGTCTGCAGCACTGAGGCTTGCCTCGGCCACCCTGGTCACCACCTTGACCCATTGGTTAAGGTGATCACTTGTCACTTTGACCAGCCACTTGCTGCTGCAGTGGGCCTGACCTGGCCAGCTCCTCTCCTGCCTGCAATCCTGTGGGGCCAGGCCTGGAACATACTTCTTTTAGGCCTTGTCCTTCCTGCTACCTAAAGGTAGAAGTTCTTGGGCTCTCTCCCCTCTAACATGAAATACTCATTCCTGGAAGCCCACCCAGAGTGACTAGGAGCCCAGGGAAGACTTCCTGTGATGGATTGGGACAGGAAACCCCGGCTGTCTCTATGGAGGACCAGCAGGAGCAGCAGCTGCGTCAGCCCCAGGCTTGGATCCAGAACCCTGTCAGTGACAAGATCCATCACCCAGATGATCTCTCTAATGGAGGGAGGAAATGAATGGGCCACTTACCACCCTGAGTTTGGAATACAGTAGAGTGAACGCCGTTAACTCTGGGGGTATGTGTCTTGAAAATCCAGGGTGTGCGATTCCTCTTGCCAGAGACCTCCCCAGACCCCCGAGGCCAGGGTCAGCCCTGGGTGACAGCCAGCTGGCCCCCACCTTCCCTTCCTCTCCTGTTAACCTTGACTCCCCTCATCCAGAAGGATCTCAGAGAGAGGGAGGGCCCTGTCCAGAGCCATCTTCTAGCAGTGGGGGTGCTGATCCTCAGGCCCTGGTTCTTTCTCTCTCTTCCCTGCTCATGTGAATCAAGGATTTGGCCCAGTCTCTCTGTGAGCCCCCAATGGGTCTGGCCAGGCTCTTCCAAAAGTTGTCTTTTTTTCTTCCCAGGAGCAGGAGTTGACTGTCCACAGGGGCACCAGCTGGAGGCAGGAATGGACTGGCCTCCGCCTCGGTTATCCCACCTCCTGATTCGCCTCTGATTGCTGAGTTTGGGTTCTGTTGTCAGTTAGGGCCCTCTCTCCTGAAACCCCTGAAATCCTGGAGGGCCTTCTACCACCTGGCCGTGTAAAAAGCACAAGGGGGTTAATGGAGAATGACCAAAAGGACCACACCACGAAAGGGGGCCGAGCCTGGGCATGACTGAGCGGGGAGCACAGAGGACTCCTCTCATGTGACGCCCAACCCCAGATAAGCCATGTGCCCATTGCGTGTACTGGTAAACTAAGGTTCATTCATGCCACCAGCAGGTACAGGTTGAGTATTCCCAATCCAAAAATCCAAAATCTGAAATGTTCCGGATGTGCCCAGGCGGAGGTCTGTCTGATCTTCCCTGGCTGCCCTTCCCTTTTCCCCACCCTGCCTCGCCGGTTCCCTCTGGGGTCCTGTACCATCTCCCTCCACACCATCACTGTTAGAATGTTAACCTCAAAAGCAAAACCTTGTACAAATGCTACCATATTCTACAAATCATATAAAAATATTTTAGCCTATGTTTTCAAATAGGTACTTGTACATGCAAATTCTAAGACTATACAAAGGGTCAGAGTGGAAAGTACCATTCCCAGCACAGTCTCCCTGCTACCTTAAGGCACACCCTGTCCACAGCTTCACGTGTTGACTTCCAAAGGGGTTTCTATAGATTCATAATATCAAGCCCTGTATAATTTCCACTATTGGAGAGGTTTTGACCTAAAAAAAAAATAACCAGTAATCTCATGTGGATTGACCTAATTTAAGCATATTCTTATAAACTTGAATCATAATTATGTGAATAACAGATTTTAGTACCAATTGCAGAAATAATTATTCATCTCTCTCATTAGGGATCTGGCTAGGGAAACTGTTTGCTTTCCAGTTTATTCCCATCCCTCCTCTGTTTTATTTTTCCTCCCTCACAGGTGGGGTGGGGTTGGATGGTCCCTGCAAACCAGGTTTTCCATGCTCCCTTGACAACTGGCTTCCATTTGGATATGGCCATTAGTCACCCCTCACCAATGACAGGTGGGACACTGGGGATGGGGAGGAGGGGGAAGGCAGGGTATCCCCTGCATCCATCCCATCCCTGGAGCATCTTTGGCCATGGCTGCACCTCCTCTGAGGCTCAGCTCCCACCAGGCAGCTTGAGCAGCTGTTCTAGCCCCCAGGGGCTCCCCACTTGCAAGGTTCCTTCAAGGTTTTGGCTCCTGCTGGGGATCCTGGCTCCCAAGATTTGGAAATGACATCTTCCTTCCATGACCCTCCAACCTGGGGTGGTAGACGTTCCCTAGTTGCCCATCTTTGGGCTTCCTCACCTACGTTTGCCTTTTCAGCTTTTCTAACACCTCTGTTACTGGTTCCTTGTTTTAAATTCCTCTTAGTAAGAATTCTGTTTTCTTTACTGGCCCTTAACTGACACACTCTATTACTGCTCAGAATCTATACTGCACTTCTCAAAAGAATGGCATCTGGTCTTTAAGCCTGAAATCCTTGGCTTCCTTGCTCGCTCTCACTCACCCAAGAAATCACCAAGTCCTGTAATTCTATCTCTGAGTATCTTTTGAACCTGCACCCTTCTCTCCTCCCCAAATCCCCTACCTTAGTTCAAGCCTCACGTCCTCCCTCCAGCCCAGCCTCACGGCTTCCAGTCTTGGCTCCTCGTCATTCACTTTCTACTCGATGGCCAGAGGGAGCATTCTAACATGAAATCTTTTCATGCCACTCTCTGGCTTCAAACATATCCACAGCTTCCATGTCCTTCTGATGACATCCGAAGTCCTCTCCATGCTGTGGTCCTGCTTGCCCCTCAGATCTAATCTCATGCCTCTCTTCTTTTGCCACCCTCTGCCTGATGAGAGCCAGACATAAAAAAAAAAAAAGTTTCCTGTTTGCATCTGCTATCTTTTGCTCCCCGCCCCCCCCCACCCGCCTTTTTTTTTTTTTTTTTTTGAGATGGAGTCTCGCCCTATCACCCAGGCTGGAGTGCAGTGGCGCGATCTCAGCGCACTGCAACTTCTGCCTCCCGGTTCAAGCGATTCTCCTGCCTCAGCCTCCAGAGTAGCTGGGATTATAGGTGCCCACCACCACGCCGAGCTAACGTTTGCATTTTTAGTACAGATGGGGTTTCACCATGTTGATCAGGCTGGTCTCAAACTCCTGACCTCAAGTGATCTGCCTGCCTCAGCCTCCCAAAGTACTGGGATTACAGGTGTGAGCCTCCACACCCAGCCTCTTTGGGCCTTTTAATGGAGCACTTTTATCCCCCTCCCCTTCTACCTTATCATCTGCCTAATCTCACTCATCCTTTATGTTTCATCTTGGGTGCCACTTCCTCCAGGAAGCCTTCCAGGATCTGCCAAGATTGAGTTGGGGGCCTTTCCTTTATATGCTACAGCATCCCGTACTCCCCTGATGATCTCATTGCTTCTATTCTTATCACTCTTCCTTCTAGACTATAAGCTTCATGAGAGTGGGGGCTATGTTGGTATCATTTACAGTCAAGTCCTCCCTTCTTCACCCTGACACATGACAGGAGATCAAAGGGCTTGACTGTGGGGTCCAATTATTTGTGAGCCTGCAGATGCAGGAAATGCCAACTCCCTTCATTGTGTTTGGCTGCAATGAACCCCTGGCCTGGGTATGGAGAGACATCTCATTCCACTTGATTAAAAAATGTGACCTGTGTGTGAGGCTTGGGAGGGACCCAGAGATGAATCGCCCTCAGCCCCTGTCAAAGGAAGCACTGGCCTGGTTTCTGAGGGAAACCCTCTGTTTGGAAGTGTAATCGGGCCATGCACAGATTCGGGATGTACTGAAACGACCTTAGCAGTGAGCTCCCAGTCAGTTCAGAAGTTGGAACATGATGCTTACGAGGGCAGAGTCACAGGGTCAGTCCCACCTGGACGAGGGCCATGTCAGCCAGCAAAGCTAACAAAACAGCATTCTCTTCCAGACCAAGCCTGGCCATGGTCCTAGACTGGGTTCCAGCTGCTGACATGGCCTGAATTCTCCGAGACTCAGATTGCTTATTCCTCCTGCAGCACCACCGGCTGTCAGGGCAAGACGTCTGCATGGCCTCTGCCACCAACTGAGCAGACGGGGGGTTGGAGGGACCAGAAATGCACAGAGAGGTTCAGGGATTCCCCCAGAGTTACCAAACCAGCACTGGAACCAGGCGTGGGCATCAGTAGAGGTAAGTCATGTGCCCGTTGCATGGACCAGCAAGCTGAGGTTAATTACTCAACAAGCAAGCCCAGGTTGAGTATCCCTAATCTGAAAATACGAAATCAGAAATGCTTCAAAATCTGAAACTTTTTGAGGCCCCCACGCTAGAAGAATTGCTCATTGGAGTGTTTTGGAGTTCGGACTTCCAGATAAGGAAGATAAGTGTAACGCAAATATTCCACTTCTGGCCCCAAGCATTTCAGACAGGGGACACTCAAACAACTGGGCCCTCGCTGTGATTCAGGCTTTGTGCCACGTGCCACCTGCAGATAGGATGGTTCCGACGGCCCAGGAGCTCAGCATCCGGCTGGAGCGTGGGACAGGGAAATAAATGATGGTTTTAAAAGGGTCATGAGAGGAAAGACATGACTCAGTATCTTGATGGTGGTGTTATATACATGAAGCTACACAGGCGATAACATTGTACAGAACTCAATCCATGCAGACAAAATGAGAAGCAAAACTAGGGAAATCTGAATAAGTTAGGGGGACTACACCAATGTCGATACGCTAATTGTGATATTATTGTTTAGTTTTGCGAAATGTTATAATGAGCGGAACTGGACAAAGTGTGCAGGCATCTCTCTGTATTATTTCTTACAACTATATGTGGATCTACAATTATCTCAAAACATTTTTTTTTTGAGATGGGGTCTCGCTCTGTCACCCAGGCTGGAGGGCAACAGCACGATCTCGGCTCCCTGCAACCTCTGCCTCCCAGGTTCAAGCGATTCTCCTGCCTCAGCCTCCTGAGTAGCTGGGATTACAGGAGCATGCCACCATGCCTGGCTAATTTTGTATTTTTAGTAGAGACAGGGTTTCACCATGATGGTCAGGCTGGTCTTGAACTCCTGACCTCGTGATCCACCTGCCTCGGTCTCCCAAAATGTTGGGATTACAGGTGTGAGCCACCGAGTCTGGCCTCAAAACATTTTTTTAAAGAACAGGTGTCTCTGCTGAGGCCACTCTCACCCTTCAGTGCGTTAGGAATGGGCCACCTTCCTCCACTCCTCAATAGAGATAGGAAATCAGCTCTCGGCCATGACTTTCAGAAAGGCTAGAGTAACCTCCTTTGCAAATTTTTCCTGTACTTCCTGCAGCCAGAAGCTGGGGGTTCCACTAACGATGAGCCACTGTAGTAATAAGACACCTGTTGCTGATGAGAAACTTGTCCTGAACGGTCCCTTGGCTGCCTGGGAGGCTGAAATAAACAGCAAACACGCATTCGAAGAAAGCAAAGCCTTTCATGAAAGAGAATTGGGTGGAAAGTTGCTTTGCTTTCCTAGAGTCCTTGGGAAAAAGATCCTGACATAATTACTCCCAAGTCCGGGATAAATGAATACAGAAAGTGCTTTACAGAACGCAGTGAGTCTGATGGATTTTATTGATCGGCTTTTCCCCGTGTTTCCTGGGGAAATACTGCACCTTCCTCACTGCGGCTTCCTCACTCCGGCCCAGTGACATAGACACGATTGTTTTCATTACAGGATGGCATTTCCTTTGAATGAAATATGAAATGGGGTGTATTCCGCTCTCACTTCGGGCAGTGTGGTGCCTGGGCTTGGACAGACATTTCATTATTTCCAAACAAATATCACCTTCAATCAAATATTAATTTTGTATGAAACCAGAATGATCACTAGTGGTTTTTGTCACCAAGTAAAAGAGCAATGAACGGCCCAGGGGTCATTAATTTCTTCCCAGAAAAGCAAGTGTGTGTGTGTGTGTGTGTGTGTGTGTGTGTGTGTGTGTGTGTGTGCATGCACGCACGTGCGCGCATGTGTGTGTGTGATACAGGGAACCAAGTGAGAAAGTCAGACTGGAATCGCTTTCATCTTTATATTCTGACCCCTGATGCTTCTGTTCTTGTTTCCCAGGTGGGATCACAACCTTTGTGAGTTTCTTCTTGTTTCTGGAGGTAAACAGACATGTACTGTGGTGCAGGGCCGGAGTGGGAGTCTGGCCACCCTGGCAGGCTCTTTAGCAAAGGGCAGAGTGGCCTGGGAGGCAGCACACCTTTGCCCCGCTCTAAACAGCTCTAAACAGACCTGCTGTGCATCCCCAGCACATACTGGGCCTGTCTGAATCTCCGTGTCTTCAGAGGTGATGGGGATGCAGCCTACATGATCTCTAGAGTCTTCTGGCTCCTGTGTTCTATGACATTCACTACAGCTTGGGGAATTTCCCCATATATAGTCTCCTTTATGAAACCCATCAGGGATGAGGAGTGGCCCCAGCTATAGAAAACTGCAGGAAAGGCCTCGGCCCCATGAGGGCTTCTGACCCGTTCCCAATCATCCCTTTCATGCTATTTCTGCTTCCTTTTGGGTTTCTTCCGCCTTCTTCCAACCTCCTTGTTATCAGAGAACTGCAGCTCTGACCTCGGCTTGAATACCTCCAGTGAAGGGGCGCTCCCCACCTTCCAGGCAGCCCAGGCTATTAGGTATTGGAAAGTATTACTCTTGTAGTCTTTCCTTATGCTGAACAAAGAGAGAGACATTTCCCTATCCGTCTTCTTTCTGCTCCCTGGTAGTACACGGAGTAAGGCTAATTTTTCCTGCAAATGACAGTCAAGTGCTGAAGAATGGTAATCAAGACCCCCTTAGTCTGCTCCTCTCCAGAATTAGTACTCCCAGATCCTGAATCATTTATGGCATGTAGTCATGAGTCTTTATCATTCTGATTTAGTTCTTCTTCTTTTTTTTTTTTTTTTTTTTTTGAGATGGAATCTCGCTCTTGTTGCCCAGGTTGGAGTGCAATGGTGTGATCTCAGCTCACCACAACCTTCGCCTCCCGGGTTCAAGCAATTCTCCTGCCTCAGCCTCCCAAGTAGCTGGGATTACAGGCATGCACCACTATGCCCGGCTAATTTTGTATTTTTAGTAGAGACAGGGTTTCTCCATGTTGGTCAGGCTGGTCTCGAACTCCCGACCTCAAGTGATCTGCCTGCCTCGACCTCCCAAAGTGCTGGGATTACAGGCGTGAGCCACCGTGCCCGGCCTGGTTTGGTTCTTATAAAGAAGTTATAAAGCTAAAAGTGTCCCTTCTTATATATATAAAAATCAATCATAAAGCTAATATAATTATAGAAAAATTAGTTACTCGGGGAAAAAGTTGTCAAAATTTCCATTTTTAACCCACTTACTATGCATATTTTGGTACATTCTTTTCTGTCTTTTTCTCCATATGTTTTTTACAGTTTTGAACTGTAAATTTGAATACTTTTTACCCCTTTCTGCAGTAAATGTCGTGTCAAAATTGTTTTCCGTGTTCCCTCATAGTGTTTACTTTTACTCTTCAATCTATCAATGCATTTATGATAATTTGTTTAAGCTTATACTGTTCAGCACTGAGATTGTTTCTACTTTTATGCTATTATAGCCGATGCTGTGATGACATTTTTGGGTGTGGCTTCTTTGAGAAAGAGGTCAATGAGATGCATCCTGGGGTCAGAAGGTGTGAATATCTACAGTTGCTACATATTGCCCGTTGCTTTCTAGGAGGGCTACTAGACGTCCACGGTAGGAAAGGACCTTTCTCACAGCTCGGTGGCCAGCAGCCAGTGCCTGGGCTGAGCTACGGCAGGATGCTCCCAGGGTGGGCTGGGCAGTGCTGGATGAACAGGGAGGGTCAGCTCACTGAGGCTGGGTCCTGGGTGTCTACTGATGGAGACAGCAAAAGGTAATGGGTAAGAGTGGGCTTACTCATAGAACCTGGAAGGTCTAGGTGGAACCCCCATCCTTCCGCTTACCTGCTTTGTGACCTTGGGGAATTTAGTGAGACTTGCTTTCCTCTTCTGTAAAATGTGGAGAGAACTTACTTAATACCTGCTCTTATCATGTTCACCAATGGCCTTTGTGTTAGTTTCTTAGGGCTGCTGAAACAAATTACCATGAATTTGGTGATTTCACAGAAATTTATTCTCTCATAGTTCCCGAGGCCAGAAGTCTGAAACAGTATCACTGGGCCAAAATCAAAGTGTTGGCAGGCTGCCCTCCCACCAGAAGCTCTAGTGGAGAATCCATTCCTTGCCTCTTCTAGCTTTTGGTGGCTGCCGGCACTCCCTGGCTTGTATCCTTCCAGCCTTCCTCCGTGGCCACACAGCCTTCTCCTTGGTGTTCATTGAATCTCCCTCTGCCCCCGTCTTATAAGGACACTTGTCACTGGATTTAGGACCCAACCAGATAACCCAGGATCCTTCTCAAAGTCATTAATCGAATCACGTTTGCAAAACCTCCTTTTCCAAATCAGGTAACATTTACAGGTTCCAAAAAGTAGAATGTATATCTTTGGGGGCCATTTTAACCTGCTGTATCGTCTATATTGTTATGTCTCTAAACATTTCCTGCCTCAGGACTCGGTCCTTGGGCCTCTTATCTTTGTTACTTCCTCCCTTAGGGACCTCACTGGGTGGCAAGGACCTTTCCCTTTCTGGTAATGATCCTCACTCAGTCACATGACTTTAAATCATCTTGCATGCTGGCGACTCCAGCCCAGTTCTCTGAACTCCATGTGTCCCCCTGACATCTTCACTGACCATCCAATAGGCAACTTGAATGTAGGACATCCAAGCCTGAGCCCCAGATGTTCTCCCCTATCCTGTTCTTCCTGCTGCCTTCCCTACCTTGAAGGATGGAAGTCTGTCCTTGCAGTGGCTCACAGGAAAGCCTGAGCACCAGCTTCCACCCCTGTTTCTCGCCCTACACCCCAACTCATCAGCAAGTCCTGTGGCTGATAGATCCAGATTCTGACCAATTTCCATCACCCCACTGCCACCACCCCACTCTGAACCAGGATGACCTCTTTCCTGGATGAGTGAAGAGTCTCTAAATGGACTTTCTGCATCCGTCCAGGTCATTCTTTGGTTTCTTCCCAACACAGCAGATGGAGTGAGCCTCAGGTTAAAATCTAAGTAAAATCCCATCACTCCTCACTGGCCCTCCCCTCCCCTCCCCTCCCCTGCCTTCCCTTCCCTTCCCTTCCCTTCCCTTCCTCTCCCTTCCCATCCTCCCCTCCCCTCCCGTCCCCTCCCCGCCTTCCCTTCCCTTTTTTTGAGATGGAGTTTTGCTCTTGTTGCCCAGGCTGGAGTGTAATGGGGCGATCTCAGCTCACTGCAACCTCCACCTCCCGAGTTCAAGGGATTCTCCTGCCTCAGCCTCCCGAGTAGCTGGGATTACAGGCACGCACCACCGTGCCTGGCTAATTTTTTGTATTTTTAGTAGAGATGGGGTTTCACCATGTTGGCCAGGCTGGTCTCGAACTCCTGACCTCAGGTGATCCACCCACCTCAGCCTTCCAAAGTGCTGGGATTACAGAGGTGAGCCACCACGCCCGGCCCCTCCTCCTTGGTTTCTTAACCTTATTCAGAATAGAAGCCAAAGTTCTTGTGATAACTTCAAAGAACCCCCCCTCCCCCAACCCGCCTCCATCTCCTCCTGCTTCTGCCTCTGGCACTTCTCTCCAGGCATCCTGCCTCCTTGCTCCTCTGTCATCATGCCTGACACAAGCCTGCCTCAGGGCTTTTGCCCTTGCTGTTCCTTCTGCCTAGAACTCTCTGCCCTCACCCCCTCACTCTTCTTTAGGCATTGCTCAAATGTCACCCTCGCAGAGAGGTCTTTCCTCTCTATCATATTTCAGAGGGCTATGCCCGCCCCTGTATCCTCCAACCCACACTTAACACCACTTTACATGTTACTCATTCATTTTGTTTTTCGTCTGCCTGCTGTGACTAGAATATAAGCTCCAGTAGGGAAGAGCCTTTGTCTCCTTTGTTTACTGCTCACCCCTCCCCATGTGTTTTGCAGTGTTCAGTTGTGACTTTGAATATTGCTTTCCTTCTCCATTTAACGTCATGTCCAAATGTTCACGTTTCTTCATAGTCTTTATAACCATGCTTCGTAAAGGATGTGGGCTCTTAATAAATATTTATTGAATGAGCGAGTGAATGAATGAATCAGGGTTCTGAGATGATGAAACAAGATGTGCATGTGAAGTTCGTGGCTCAGCATCTAGCACAGAGCAAGCATTCAAGAGGGGTTAGTTATCACCATCACCATCAATGTTATTAAGATTCCATTAAGTCTTTGGGCAAACATAATCTGAAAATTCTTTGCACGCACCTGCAACCCCACCCCACCCCGCCCAAGGCTTCTTCTCAGCCTTGTTCTGCTAGTTGCCTTTTTTTTTTTTTTTTTTTTTTTTTTTTTGAGATGCAGTCTCGCTCTGTCACCCAGGCTGGAGTGCAGTGGCGTGATCTTGGCTTACTGCAACTTCCGCTTCCCAGGTTCAAGTGATTCTCCTGCCTCAGCCTCCTGAGTAGCTGGGAACACAGGTGCCCGCCACCACACCCGGCTAATTTTTATATTTTTATTAGAGACGGGGTTTCACCATGTTGGCCAGGCTGGTCTTGAACTCCTGACCTCATGATCCACCCCCTTTGGCCTCCCAAAGTGCTGGGATTACAGGTGTGAGCCACCATGCCTGGCCTGGTAGCTGCCTATTCTTGTGCGGCTGAGTTTCAGGCCCCAGCATGGGAATTTGCATTTCCCATGTGTGTTTCTCCTTGCTGGGAGCAGCCTTTCATCTCACCTCTTGAAGCCCTTTGGAATCTGGATTCTGTTTCACTTCTTTGTGTTTCAGAACACACAAAGCTCTGCAAAAATCTTTCCTAGCTTCCTAGCCGGCTTCCTCATTTGATCTCTATAACACTCTTCATTTTGCAAAAGAAGAAACTGAAGCTGAAGGAAGTTAACTTAATCTCCTCATTCATCCTTTTATTTAAGAAGTAACTATTGAGTGCTGCGCTAGGTGGTAAGGACGCCAGGGAATGGGTCCAGCAGTACTGCGGGACAGTATGTCCTGCAAGGATTGACCTCAGGCGGGTGGGTGTTTCTCCAGCATGAGCTTTTGCTCTCTTATCCCAGCCACTGGCCCGTCCATCCTGGGAGGTCCTTCAGGGAGACATGGGACTGTGCCCTCAGAGTCATGGGCCCGCTTGGTGCCAAAGGGTTCCCTCTGCATCTTCACTTGCTGGACAGTGGCAGAGAAAAGATGCTTGTCCTGTATCCTTTGGGTGGGCTCCATGAGGGACCAATACTCCACTGGACTGTAAGCTCCACAGAGGCAGGGACCTTTCTGTCTTGTGCAAACTGCCTGATCCCTCCCTGCATGGCCCAGTGTATGCTCTGGAGTGGGTGCTCAGTAAGTATTTCTTGGTTCAATCATGAGATGCCTATCATAGAAGAGAAAGCTCCCAAACAATGTTGAGAACCGGGGAACATTATGATGGGGGGCCCACGGCTTGAACAGAGCCACTGC
Source organism: Homo sapiens (assembly GCF_000001405.40). Classification (NCBI taxonomy): domain Eukaryota; kingdom Metazoa; phylum Chordata; class Mammalia; order Primates; family Hominidae; genus Homo; species Homo sapiens. The sequence goes on from NC_000017.11 coordinate 5,885,779, forward strand.
ATACCTCCAGCTCCTTAGCCTCTGGGTGCTGTTTCCTCTGCAATGTGAACTGCAAGGCCCACACTGCTTTGCCCTTCCTGCCCGGCTTCCAAGCTCTTGGGCATTCTCAAGGCAACGTTAAAGTAAGCTGCGTACATACTAAGGCTAAGGCACCTAGATCTCCAGGAAAGAGGCCTCTTGACAGAGGGGGTTCGGATGGCATAAGATGGTTGTTCTAGTTACAAAGCCCAGGCTGGGAAAATTTTAAGACGAGACTCTAGACTCAGCATGGCCTCCAACTCACTCTGTAACTGTGGGTCTAGTCTCCCATCTATAGAATAAATGGGGACAGATGTGATGGCTCACACTTGTAATCTCAGTACTTTGGGAAGCCAAGGCAGAAGGATCCCTTGAGTCCAGGAGTTTGAAGCTGCAGTGAGCTATGATCACGCCACTGCACTCCAGCCTGGGTGACAGAGCAAGATCTTGTTTCTCTTAAAAAAAAAAAATTAATTAATTAAAAAAAACAATAAAGGGATTATTTAGGGCTTAGGCTTACTAAAGCTCTGATCCCTATAGCTATATGGATCAGCCAGTCTCTTGAAACAACTGATTTCTGTCACTCCCAGATGGCTGGAGAACAGGTCTTCTCTATGGCAAGCTACAGACATATCAGACCAGTTTTGCTGTGGGCCAGGAAACTGCAGCCTCCCTAGAAGCTATTTTTTCCTGCCGCTAGAAAGCCAGGATGGTGATGGCCCCTCAGACTGGACCCCAGGGAAGGTTGTCCTTCCATAACCATTGCATAATTCCATAATTCCACACTTGTTCAAGGTGGCTTTTTTTTTTTTTTTTTTTTTTTGATAGTGTTTTGCTCTTGTTGCCCAGGCTGGAGTGTAATGGTGCGATCTCAGCTCACTGCAACCTCCGCCTCCCGGGTTCAAGCGACTCTTCTGCCTCAGCCTCCCAAGTAGCTGGGATTACAGGCATGTTCTACCACGTCTGGCTAATTTTGTATTTTAGTAAAGATGGGATTTCTCCATGTTGGTCAGGTTGGTCTCGAACTCCCGACCTCAGGTGATCTGCTTGCCTCGGCCTCCCAAAATGCTGGGATTGCAGGCATGAGCCACCACGTCCGGCTAATTTTGTATTTTTAGTAGAGACGGGATTTCTCCATGTTGGTCAGGCTGGTCTCAAACTCCCCACCTCAGGTGATCTGCCGGTCTCGGCCTTCCAAAGTGCTGGGATTACAGGCGTGAGCCACCGTACCTGGCAAGGTGGCTCTTGTTAAAATAGTTTTCCCTCCTTGTGTCAATTCCTTGAACTTAAAAAAAGTTTTGTTTTGAAATAATTATAGATTCACAGGAAGTTGCAAAGAAATGCACCATGCACCCTTCACTTCTTCTTCCCCAATGTTAGCATCTTGCATGATGTTCGCATGATATCAACACCATGAAGATATGTGTGACGATTTTCTCATCTTTTAGAGCAGAAGTAGGCGAATGATGGCTCATGGGCCAGATTTGACTTGCCACCTGTTCTTTTTTAAAACCACCTGTTTTTGTAAATAAATTTCTATTGGAGCACAGGCCTCCTCATTCATTTACGTGTTTTCTATGACTGTTTTCATACTACCATAGCACAAGTGAGCAGTTGTGACAGAGACCATATGGCCTCCAAAGCCTAAAATTGTTACTATCTAGCCCCTTATAGAAAAAGTTTGGAGACCTCTGTTTTACAGTAAGACACCGAGACAGCTAAGATACCGGGATTAAATATCACTCATAAAATTATAAAGACGGCTGGGCACAGTGGCTCATGCTTGTAATCCCAGCACTTTGGGAGGTGGAGGCAGGCGGATCACGAGGTCAGGAGTTCGAGACCAGCCTGGCCAACACAGTGAAACCCCATCTCTACTAAAAATACAAAAATTAGCAGGGTGTGGTGGCGGGTGCCTGTAATCCCAGCTACTTGGGAGGCTGAGGCAGGAGAATCGCTTGAATCCAGGAGGCGGATGTTGCAGTGAGGCGAGATCACACCACTGTACTCCAGCCTGGGTGAGAGAGCGAAACTCTATCTTAAAAAAAAAAATTGTAAAGACAACTATTAGGAGACTAGAATAGACTTAATGCACTTTCTAATCCATAAGAAGGAAACCATACAGTCAAATACGATAACCCATGTAGGGAATGAGCACCAAGAAAGATTTAAAGCAACACAAATGAGGATACAATAAAACCAAATATGTCTATTACTCATATAAAACAAATGAGACAAATTCAGTTGTTAAAATAAGCCTCAGATTTGGTTAAGCAAACAAATTAACTATAAGTTGTATACAAGAGATGAGTTAAAAATAAAGTGATGCAGGCCAGGCGTGGTGGCTCATGCCTTGTAATCACAGCACTTTAGGAGACTGAGACAGGCAGATCACTGGAGGTCAGGAGTTCGAGACCAGCCTGGCCAACATGGTGGAACCTTGTCTCTACTAAAAATACAAAAATTAGCCAGGCATGGTGGTGCATGCCTGTAATCCTAGCTACTCAGGAGGCTGTGGCAGGAGAATTGCCTGAACCTGGGAGGCAGAGATTGCAGTAAGCCAAGATAGCACCACTGCACTCTAGCCTGGGTGACAGAGTGAGACTCCGATGCAAAGATTAGGAGTTAAAGGGAGGGACTTGTGGTTAAATTACTAGACATTATCTTATCTTCCTCCAGGGATCCAATAAAATGGTAGGTAAAAAAAAAAGTGTAGCTGATGATGTCAAAGACAGTGGGTGGAAGTCTAACAGCCGAGAGGAGGCTTCAATACATTTCTTGCAATTAGAAGGGTGTATTGGCAGTGCAGTGGTCATTGGCAATGCAGGGAAGGGTAGAGCTAGAGTGGAGGGGATACAGGTGAAGGAGATGCCCATCTGCCTTCTAGAACCAAGAGAGACTTTAGACCCTGAAGCCCTTGGTGAACTGAATGAGAGATCTCCTCTTTCTACCCTTTGTAGGTCTTCAGTGTTTTGGCCATCTCCCTACCTGATCACCCTGAAGCAACACCCACAAGCAGACAAGCTCTGCCCAGGTATTCACAGCTTCTCACAACTTTCCTTTTTCTCCTTCTGTGAAAACAACTAAACAGGGCCTTATCAAATATTTGAGGAAAGCCTCTGTATGAGTTATGCTGAGCAATACATTAGCCCCCACACTTAGCAGCTTAAAACAACAAGCATTTCTGATCTCACAGTTTCTGTGGGTCAGACATTGAGAACGGCTTAGCCAGGTGGTTCTGGTTCAAGATCTCTTATGAGGTGCACGTCTGAAGACAGGAGGATCCACTTCCAAGATGACTCACTCACATGACTATAGGCAAAGAGGTCTTAGATCCTTGCTGGCTGTTGGCAGGAGGCTTCAGTTTCTCACTACATGGACCTCTCCACAGGGCTGCTTGAGTGTCCTCATGATAGGCGGCTGGATTCCCCCAGACTGAGTGATCTAAGACAGAGAGAGCAAGGAGGAAACTTTTTACAACCCGGTCTTGGATGCTGCATACCATCATTTCCAGTTTCTTCCATTCATTAGAAACAAATCACTAAGTCCAGCCCATGCTCTGTGGAGGAGAATTGGGCTTCACCTCTTGAGAGGAAGAGAATCGAAGGATTTGTGAACATATTTGAAAACTACCCAACCTGTAACAGGAAAAAAGAAGATAAAAATAAATAAATATCTAAAAATAATTCTAAAATGAAGTAGTACAAGCAGCAAAAGAGAATAAAAAAGTTTAATGGGTGTCTTCAGAGGTATTTGAGAGGATACTATATTCATTAAAAAAACCACAAAATCAATGCCATGGAAAATAAAATTAAGAGAATGAGAAAGAGACCTTGGACATTACAGCATGATTACTGATTTCTTTTTTTCTCCTTCACTTGCTTTTATGAAACATTTATTTTACTTTCTTATTAAAGTGGAATTTTTATTAAAAGAAGTTAACCATTTAAGGCATTTAGTTGTGCAACCATCACTTCTCTCTTGTTCCAAAACAAAACTCCAAAAGAGACCCTGTATCCACTAAGCAGCTACTCCCCATTTCTCCCCAACCCATGACAACCCCTGGTCTACTTTCTATCTCTATGAATTTGCCTATTCTGGACATCTCATATAGATGGAATCATATAAGGTATGACTTTTTGTGTCTGGCTTCTTTTGTTTGGCAAAAAGTATTTAATTGTGGGTTTCTGTTTTTCAAATTAAGAGAAGGATTGGAGGCTAAATCAGAAGAAATCTCCAAGAAAGGAGAACATAAAGGAAGAATGAGGAAAATATGAGTGAATAGCAATGCTAGGAGATCACTCCAGGGGGTCCAATATCTGATAGAAGTTCTAGAATGAGCAGAGAAAAATGGAGAAGAGAAACTTATGAAAGAAATAATACAAGAAAAGTCCCCATTAATAAGGGATACATATACACAAAGAACCAGCATACTGAATGGCAAAAGACTCACATTAACACAAACTATTGTGACATTTCATGTCATGAGGAGTTGAGAGGTGATATTAAAGATTTCTAGATGGGAGGGGAAAATAAAGAGCAGCAAAGAAAAATGTAAGAGAATCAGAATGTGTAATTCTTTTTCTCACACACTATCCTTAGAACCTAACCCCTTTGTAAATTATGACTCCAATGTCTAATTTATGTCATCTGACTTCAATACAATAAAACCTAAAAGCAACATCAAGACAATAGCAACCCTTGCAAATCAATGACCTAGAAACTAAAGAAAAACTTTCTTATATTAACTTCTGGGTTAAAGAATAAATGAACCTGAAAATGAAGAATCTCTGAAAGATAAGAATATATGAGAATGAAAATACTATGTATTGATGCTTAGAAATATAGCTTGGAGAGAAATTTTACTCTTAAAATGCTTAAGACATCAATCACGTGTAGCCAGTAACCAGCATGTTAAAAACTAGGACCTATTTAATTAGAAAACGTCTTTATATTTGACTGTCCTTTTAATTAGCTTGGTTGGGTTGTTCTTCCCTTGACACCCAATGAATGTATGAGCATACTCATTACTTTTCTGATAACTCTCAGGTAGTTAAAAAATTTGATATCATCACTTTGGAGCACAAACATACTTTTAAGTGAGTAAGAGTGTTTCTGACATCTCCCTTCCCACGCCCACTTCCTACTCATTTTGGTTTCAAGCTGAGGGAAAGGAGGAGAAAGAACGTGGTACAGAAAACTCTTTCTGGACTAGAACTCCCCTAAGGTGGCTTCCCAAGTTTTGTACCTGAAATGTGGTTAAAGTTAACTCTTTCTTAGAGCACCTGCCTGGTTCCTTTGGCAATTTCTCTACTGGGCCCCTGCCAGTCTTGTTTCTGGGGCACAGCCTTGTCTTTGCCTGGCCTCCTGAGGACCCCTCAGCTTCAGTGCCCATGGGATGGGAGTGCTGTGGCTTCCTAGTGGCAGACTTCTACCTCGTTGCCGCAGGCTGTGTTAGCTTTCTCAGGGGTGGGTCAGGCACCAGTTCTCTGTGCTCCCAACTGTACAGAACCCACACACTTTCTTCTAACCATCTCTGTAGCTTGGGGTCAGGAGATTGCATTGTTCATGCCACCCTTCAGAGTAGGGTCTGACTTAAAGCATAGCTCTCTACAAATAAATGCTCCTCCAAAATGTATTCTAAGGCTCATCATTCAATCCTGTTGTATCCTTATCGTGGTCATTCACCTAACTAGTTCTAGGCTACCTCCGTTAAATATTCAGCATGGTCTCCATCTCTCATCTTACTTTGGTGTCTGAGAACTAGAATATTTTGTATCTTATTTTATATTTTATTTTTTTTTAACGTTTTGTAGAGATGGAGTCTCACTGTGTTGCGCAGGCTGGTCTCAAACTCCTGTCCTTAAGCTATCCTCCTGAAAGTGTTAGGATTACAGGCATGAGCCACCATGCCTGGCCTTAGAATCTCTTGTTTATTCAATCAAATCTTGCAATATTACAGAGCACATTACACAAGAAAAAAATAAAACAAATGAATTAAACATCCAATATGAAAAGTTAGAGATCAACTGAATCAATGCAAAAAAATTAGAAAAAAGTATTGATGAATTTATAAAATAAAAATGGTAGAGCTAATAAATCAAGAATGAATTTATTTGAGATAAATAAATTCAATAAGTTTATGAGGGAAAATACAATAAAATTGAGAAATAATTAGGAGACGGTTCAAATCCACTGCATTAGAAACAAACAAGAGAAAACACCACAGATCCAAAAGAAATTGAATAGGACAGAAAAACTTAACAAAAAATTTAGTCAAAGTAAATTTGAAAAAATGCGCGAGATAGATATTTTCTAGGAACTATAAATGACTAAAATCAGCCCCATAAGAGGTAGAAAGCCTAAATAGAGCAAAAACAATGGAAGAAATTGAGAAAGTTATAAAAAAGCTACCTCTCCACAAAAGTGCCAGATCCAGATGGTCTCAAAGGTAAATTCTTACAAAAGTTCAAGTAACAGATGATTCTGATACTATTTAAACCCTTCCAGAACCTAGAGAAGTAAGGATGTCTTCCAAATCTTTTTATAAAACCAGCATGCCAAAATTTGACAAAGTTAGCACAAAAACACAAAACTTCAGACCAATGTCACAACCACCATAAAGAACAATTTAAACAAAACGATGGTAGAAATTTCCATAGCATATTAAAGGAATAAAACACCACATTCAAGGGGATTCTTCCTCCAAATTTAAGGCCTTTCAAAATTATGTAATCTATTAATATAGTACATTTTTTTAATGTATCACAGGGGGAAAACACCAGAGGATCAACTCAATGGATGCCAAAAAGGAATTTTAATTGAATTCAATATTCACCACTAATTTAACACAAACCAATGAACTAACCTACGTAATGGGAATAGATGGTGTGCTTCCCACTGTCATCCTTCCCTCCCCCATTGCAAGTATATAAAGGTTTGGGTTGAAACGACCTTCACCGCTTCTCTAAGCCCCAAGTTGGTTAGTGGAGTTCCACTGCCACAGTGAGTAGTTAAGGATGGACAATAGCTAAGCAAGATATTTTCTTGCTTAGTGATTGGTATAAACAATCACTAGGATTGTTATAAACAAAGAGTCCTAGGATGTTCTAATCAGAGTAAATACCAGGACTTTTGTTTTTTTTTTTTGCCTTCAAAGCTTTGAAGAAGAGAAGCCTTATTTTTCTCTGGGTTATATGGTGTGCAAATGTTAGGTCTGGAACAGGGCAGCCATTATTGTTTTCTAAGAGGAAAGCCAGCTAGACAACAGAGCCAGCATGCAGAAGAGGCTGGAGCTCGGAGAATCACAGGGACATGAAACTGGAGCCCCAATCAAGCTGCACCTGAAACTTAACTACCACTGGGCTATTTTTATGCAAGCTAATAAATCATCTTTATTTTGTAAGCCAGTTTGAGTTGGTTTTCTATTACGTGCAACTAAAAACAGTCTAACTGATTCAGACTGATATTTTCTTAGCACCATTTAAAAAGTTTAGCTGAAATCAAAACCATGGTAGAAGATGAGATGCATCCTCATTAAATTCAGGGCATGCAAGATGAGAACAGCATCTGCAAAGGATGGCTGGGGAAAATCCTAGATTTCTTGAGTCTGAGGTCAAAGAGGGGTGGAATAAAGGCGAAGATAAAAGGGCTGATAGCCCTGGGGACTCTGAAATGAAGAGAACAGAGAAGACAGATGCCCTGTGGTGATTTGCTCCAAAGCAGCTCAAGGGGAGGGGAGCCAGCTGCTTTCCCTTAGAACAGTGGTTTTTCAACTCCAAGTGATTTTCCCTCCCAAGAGACATTTGGGAATGTCTAGAGACATTTATGGTTTCACAACTTGGGGTCAGTGTTATTGGCATCTAGTGGGTAGCAGCCAAGGATGCTTCTAAATATCCCTCAATGTACAGGACAGCCCCCGACAATAAGAAATTATCTGGCCCAAGATGTCAGTCATGTTGAGGTTGAGAAGCCTCACCTTTATCCTCTCAGTTTTGCTGGTTTATGTTCACAGTTCCTTCCGTGGCCTCGTGGGTAACCTCACTGTGGAGTTTACATTGTTCTCACAGCACGAGTCAATGAGATTAGACAAGAGACAAAAATATTGAAAAGGAGGAGGTCCAGTGTTGTGATTCACAAATAATGGCCATATACTTGCTGATTCTAAGAGCTGGCTGAGAAACTGTCAGCCATTGTAGAAACAATGGAAGAATTCAGTGAGGTGGTGGATTTCAACATTAATAGTCGAGACCAACAGTTTTGCTGTATGCTAAAAATAGCTAGTTAGAAAATATGGAAAATATAAAAAAGTGTACAAAATGTAGGTACACGTTTAGCCTGAGCTGATCATTACCCTTATGAAGATCATTACCCCTTTTACTCTCTTTTGAGAGGCATACAGAAAAGACTGCTTCAAACTCTCTGGACCTGGCTCTAGAAAGGAATATTCAGCCTGACAGAGATGAGTGTGCTTCTCAAAATTAACTGAGAAACGAAATTCTGATAAAATTTCACAGGATTTTTCTTCTTTTGGAATCTGTTGAAATAAAACCTAAGTTCATCTGGACAAAAAAACTATAAAAAATAACTGAGCCAATTCTGAGAAGAAAACTACTGACATGGGACCAGCCTGATAAGATACCAAAACATCTGAAACTCAGCAATAAAGCAGTTTAATAATGGAGAAGAAACACACAGGTGGATGAAAGCAATAGAGATTCCAGAAATAGACCCAAGTACATGGAAGAATTTCATTTACAGTAAAGGTATAATTTTCTGAAACAATTCTCTAGCCATCTGGTAAAATGAAAGCCTTCTCAGCCCTCATGTCTGAAACTTATATGTCCAACAAAGGATTCATTTTCAGAATATATAAATAACTCATACAAATCAATCAGAAAAAAGATAATGAAAAAATGACTATAACACTGGAACAGCCACCTCACAAATAAGGCAATCCAGATGGCCAATAAGCAATGGAAAAGGAGCTTGCTCTGATTAGTCAAGGAGCTACAAATCAAAACCACAGCTGAGATCCTTTACTCATCCACCAGAACGGCTAAAAGTTAAGGACTGATGATATAAATTGTTGTTGAAGATGTGGAGCAGCAACTGGAACTTTTTTTTTTTTTTTTTTGAGGCAGAGTCTCGCTGTCGCCCAGGCTGGAGTGCAGTGGCGCGATCTCGGCTCACTGCAGGCTCCACCCCCTGGGGTTCACGCCATTCTCCTGCCTCAGCCTCCCGAGTAGTTGGGACTACAGGCGCCCGCCACCTCGCACGGCTAATTTTTTGTATTTTTAGTAGAGACGGGTTTTCACTGTGCTAGCCAGGATGGTCTCGATCTCCTGACCTCATGATCTGCCCACCTTGGCCTGCCAAAGTGCTGGGATTACAGGCGTGAGCCACTGCACTGGGCCCAGAGACATTTCTGGTCTAGCAGAAAAGCCCTGGCTCTTAGACCTGGGCCAGCAACCTTTAATATGCAAATACCAGACATTAGAAACCGGGTCCACCCAAACATGGGGATTCTGCCATCTTCTTCCTTGCCACCACATATGCCTGGCAGCATGGCCACCCCCACATATCCCCACGTGTGTAGAACATCATGGAGCCCTGCATTTGCATATTAAAAGGCTAAAGTGGGAGGGCCAGTTTTTTCATGGGCTATGAGAATGACATGCCTGCTCAAACCAATCCCCCGAGCCCTGTGCAAATCAGACACAACCTCCTCCAGCCTCCTCATAAAACTGGCTAGTATCCGCGGCACATGGGGTCTCCTCCCTCGGCTTTGGAGCCCCCTCCCTCTGTCTCTGCACAGGGGAACTTCTTCCTTCTTTCTTCTCCCTTCTTTCTTGCCTGTTAAACTCTCTGCTCCTTAAAACCATTCCACATGCGTGGGTGTCGTTTTTTCCAATTCAACTCAAAACGAAGAACCTTGGTGTTGCTCCACTCATCAGAGCTGTATCACTGCTTTCCAAACCATTTGGAACACAAAATTTAAACAAAATGCACACACATGATGACACAGAAAGTCCACTGCTAGATGTATATAACCAACTTACTCAAATGATACATTAATTTTGTTATATTTGGACAATGGAATATACAGCCATGGAATGAATGAACATATCTGTATGAACATGAATGAATGATCCAGCTATGAAAACAACTATGGATGAATGAACATGGCTGTATGAACATGAATGAATGATCCCACTATGAAAACAACTATGGATGAATGAACATGGCCGTATGAACATGAATGAACGAGCTATGAAAACTACTATGGATGAATGGACATGGCTGTATGAACATGAATGAAAGATCCAGCTATGAAAACAGCTATGGATAAATGGACACGGCTATATGAACATGAATGAATGATCCAGCTATGAAAACAGCTATGAATGAATGGACATGGCCGTATGAAAATGAATGATCCAGCTATGAAAACGGCTATGAATGAATGGACCTGGCTGTATGAACATGAATGAATGATCCAGCTATGAAAATAGCTATGAATGAATGAACTCCAGCTACGGACAACATACACAACCACATATGACAACACACATGGCAAGTGTGATGTTGAGCAAAAGAATACATCTGGAATGATTGTGTTTACAGAATGTTAAAGCACAGACAGAGCTAATCGATGGGGACAGAGGTCAGGTGACCTTTGGGGAGAAGGAGGTCTGTGCCTGGGAGGAAGCATGGCTGGGGAGGAGGGGGGCTTCTGGGTTGCTGACAATGTTCTTTTATTTTCCGATGTGGGTATGTTCCCCTAGTGAAAATCCATTTTATATTTGGGTGCTTTTCTGTATGGATGCTATTCATCAATAGAAAATTTAAAAAGAAATACAGAGGCTGGGCACAGTGGCTCACGCCTATAATTCCAGCATTTTGGGAGGCCGAGGTAGGCAGATCACCTGAGATCAGGAGTTCAAGACCAGCCTGGCCAACATGGTGAAACCTCATCTTTACTAAAAAATAAAAAAATTAGCTGGGCGTGGTGGTGGTGTGCGCCTGTAGTCCCAGCTACTAGGGAGGCTGAGGTGGGAGAATCTCTTGAACTCGGGAGGTGGCAGTGAGCTGAGATGGAGCTACTGCACTCCAGCCTGGGTGACAGAGTGAGATTCCGTCTCAAAAAAAAAAAAAAAGAAGAAAAAAAAAAGAAATACAGAAATATATAGTATAGTAAACAAGCTTATAGTAAACAAGCGAATGGAAGATTCTGTACCATGTTGAAGGCCATTTATGCAGCGTCGGTGATTCCCAGTCTTCCCACCTAATACATAGAGTGAATAATGCCAAACCCGAGTGGGTTTTAGGAAAATTAAATGAGACAATGGATATGGAAGTGTTTTGTAATCTGTAAAGGCTGGCGTCGTTACGAGTTTTACCATTACCCCACGTTCCCACTGCTGAGAAGGGCACACGTGGAATTATGATGACAAGTGGTGTCCGGGGCCCCTGTGCTCTCTTGTTCAGTTGCTCTTTATCATTTAAATCTGTCCTGGCTTTACTCTCTTCACCACCTCCACTGCCCCACTCCCAAGATGAATTCTTTCCTTAAACAATGGAAGATAGATGGGCTTTGTGTTTCTTGAGCTGATTAAAATCATTTCCTCTCTGTGAGAGTCCATTCATGTGGAAATGGTGCTTCTGAACACTAGCCTCAGAATCTAGCCTCGTGCACTGGAATTGCAGCCTGCGATGTCTAACCATTCCTGTTCCTTCCTGGCAGCATTTCACAGACTCCGCAGATGCCCCTGCAGAGCCTTGAATGCTTTATATCCGGGCGCCAGCTGAGCCCCTCTGAATGCTGCCTGAGTGCCGTGGGTGCAATTGCAGTCGTGCGTCGTGCCGAGTGTGGTGGGCATTCATCAGCTACCATCACGGCAACAGCAGCTTCTGCTTATCACGTGCGTTGTCTCAGTGGGTCCTCACAGCAGACCGGTGGCAGTAGATAACACAATCCCCATTCCACAGGTGGGAAAGCTGAACTGCAGATCAGAGGCAGGAAGTGCCTGGGCCACAGTCACAGAGTCACACATTGCAGAGACAGGATGTGAATGTGAGTTTGTTTGACTCTAGAGCACATGCTGGTTCATTTATTCAATAAACGTTTATTAAACATCTGCTATGTGCCAGGCACTTGGATAGGTTGGTGAAAAGTCTTCCTGCCTCATGAGCTTACATTCTATTGGAGGAGGTGGACAACAACGGCTAAACATAATACATAAATAAATCATGTAATATACTAGAATGCTAGGAGCCTTGGGAAAAAAAGAGTTGGACAGTGCAAAGGGGTATCAGGAGTGGTGAGAGGTTGGGGGCGGGAGTGTCTTGACTTGCTAGTGAAGTTGGCCAAGGGAGACGTCCTTGAGAAGGTGACATTTGACCCGCCCGCCTCAGCCTCCCAAAGTGGTGGGATTACAGGCGTCAGTCACTGCTCCCAGAGTTCAAGACCAGCCTGGCCAGCATGGTGAAACCCCATCTCTGCTAAAAATATAAAAATTAGCCAGGCGTGGTGGTGGGTGCCTGTAATCCCAGCTACTCAGGAGGCTGAGGCAGGAGAATCGCTTGAACCTGGGAGGTGGAGGTTGTAGTGAGCTGAGATCTCACCACTGCACTCCAGCCTGGGCAACAGAACGAGACTCTGTCTCAAAAAAAAAAAAGGGACATTTGAACAAAGTCTTGAGGAAGGCAAGAGGGGTTAGCTGTGTGGATACCTGGGAGAGGAGTGAACCAGATTGAAGGAAAACTTCACATCCAGTCCCTGCGTAGGAGAGGCTGGCGTGGCCGGCGCAGGGTAAGGGAGGGGGCAGTGGCAGTAGCAAGGGTCAGAGAGGTGGCTGAGCGCCAGGTCCCATAGAGTCTCGAAGTCCATTGTAAAGGCCTTGGCTTTCTCGCTGAGTGAAATGGGGGTCCTAGGAGGGACAGAGCAAAGGAGCACACTGCCCCATTTGTGTTCCAAATGCTGTGTGGAGGCTGGACTATGGTGCAGGAAAGGCGCATGCATGGAGGCCAGTAGGAGGCAAGAGGTGATGGCTGGGACTGCAGAAATTGAAATGTAACAGTGAGACATGCCTGGGTCACGGACGTACTTTTATTTATTTATTTGTTTATTTATTTTGAGATGGAGTCTCGCTCTGTCACCCAGGCTGGAGTGCAGTGGTGCGATCTCAGCTCACTGCAACCTCCACCTCTCGGGTTCAAGTAATTCTCTGGTCTCAGCTTCCCGAGTAGCTGGGATTACAGGTGCCCGCCACCACACCTGGCTAATTTTTGTATTTTTAGTAGAGACGGGGTTTCACCATGTTGGCCAGGCTGGTCTTGAACTCCTGACCTCAGGTGATCTGCCCACCTTGGCCTCCCAAAGTGCTGGGATTACAGGTGTGAGCCACTGCATCCAGCATTCTGGATGTACTTTGAAGATAGAGTTGATGAGATTTGCTGAGGGAGTCTGGGGTCTAAGAGAAAGAAGGAGAGAGAAGATGACTCTAGGTTTTTGGCTGGGGCATCTGGAAGGCTGGAGATGAAGAAGGGTGTGAGAGGAATGCGTTTGGGGAGTGGGATGTCAGCGCAGTTTTGGATCTGCTGGGTGTGAGATGATTCTCAGGCCTCTGAGTAGAGATGTTAGGTAGGCAGTTGGATGCAGGAATGTGGAATTTGGGAGAAGTCTAGTGTGAAACCTTATTTGGATTCAGGTTTTCTCTGTAAATAAAAGGGAGAGCTGTAAAGTCAGGTGCTTCCCGGGGATCTTGAGGGAGCCTGAAGCTGTGGCCCTCGGGGAGGGGGAGAGCCTGATAGTCCTGACAACCTGTGAGCTGGGCCTGAAACAGTCCCTCCCAAGCACACACGCTGTGGCCCAGGAATCGTCGGCAGGTGCCAGGCCTATGCCGGGGCTCCTGCACCCCTGATGGTCATGGCAAGTGTCTCACTCTTCTTATCACCAGCCCGCTCTCACTCTTATCCTATTTCTGTCAGCTCCTGGTCCTGACTTTGGGACCCAACTGTGGTTCTAGCCCCTCCTTGAGTCCCCACACTGGGTCCCTTGGTCACCTCTTGTGTCTTTGGGAGAGGCATGCTTGACATCCAACTCATTTGTCTCTTGACCCAACTGCAGTTGGACTAAGGACAGAGGTACTTCCTCCCATCCCCACACTCCAGGAGGGCTTGCGCCAGCTTGGCCGGCTCAGACGCAGATGCTGATTGGAGAGTCCAGTCCGTGAAGGCCTAGGTCACCAGCCTGGCCCTGCCAGAGATGGCTGGGATACTGAACATGGCCGGTGGAACTGGAGAAATCAATAGGCATCTAGTGTCTGACTCTCCCTGGCAGGGAGAAAGGCATGGAGTTACCTCCTTTTTCAGAGTGGCTTGCTGGTAAGGGTTGGGTGGAGGCTGGAGGGGATAGAGGGAGATTGCAAATGGTGACCAAGTCAGAAGAGAAGCACATCCACAATGGAGTGTCCATGAAGGTGGCCTGAAGTGTCCTCTGTGTCCAGGGGATCTCTAGTGACATTGGTGGGTGGGTGGGGGTTCTTCGTCTAGAAGGATGGGACAGAGCTGTGCACTGAAGCCTGTGGATTCTAATCTCAAGGCCACAGCTGGGATCTGCCATCCTCTTTCAGATGGGCTGTTTTTCTTACTTTAATTGTGAATATAAACAAATATCTATGGAAGCTATGAGATGGAAGATAATAAGGGAACAGAGTGGGGTTGTCACTGACACTTCCGCCCTCTGGCATGTGGGATTGTGAAATGCTGGGGGACAAGGACTTCTGGGTTTTTACAATGTTTACACCTGTCTCCTCCACAACAAGAAATGGGCTTCACAGAATTGTCCACATTCTCATCCAGGCCCTTTGGGGTCGGAAGTAGATTCGGGGAGTCAAAAGGGCAGATACATGACTGGGATTAGGGTTCAGTTGTGCCCAGGGTAAGATGTCAGCCGAAGGTCAGAAGCGGGAATAGGGGCAAAGCTCAGTCAATGGGTGGCTCAGGTTGCATCTTGGCCTGGGGACAGGCTAGGGCTTCATGGGGTCAGGATCAGGATGAATCTACTTCCAGGGGACATTCTTGTCCTATGTGTAGCTAAGAGGCCTGCTCCTGGATTCAGCCAGTCTCCTGCCTCCTTTGTTCTGTCTCCTGATTAACTTTTTTTTTTTTTTTTTTCTGAGAAGGAGTCTCCCTCTGTCACCGAGGCTGGAGTGCAGTGGCACCATCTTGGCTCACTGCAAGCTCTGCCTCCTGGGTTCATGCCATTCTCCCGCCTCAGCCTCCCAAGTAGCTGGGACTACAGGCGCCTGCCACTATACCCAGCTAGTTTTGTTTTTGTATTTTTAGTAGAGACGGGGTTTTGCCATGTTATCCAGGATGGTATCTATCTCCTGACCTCGTGATCCACCCGCCTCGGCCTCCCAAAGTGCCGGGATTACAGGCGTGAGCCACCACGCCCAGCCTGTCTCCTGATTCACTTCTGAGCAAACCAAACCTGTCATGACTTGAGAGCAAGTGATCCTTCCTACTAGATAGAGCCTTATCCAACAGGCTCCAGCCTCCTGGAGGAAAGCTGGGCTCTGGCTTGAAATTAACCTGCTCTGGGGTCCTTTCCAGTCCCATGTGGTTCTGCCTGCCCTCTTTGTGGCCAGCACTGTGCTGGGCACTTTCATATGTGAGCTCTCTAGATCTTGAGAACAATTGCATGGGGGAAAGGATTAGCATCCCCATTTCATGTGCAAGGAAAACTGAGGCTCAGTTGCTATTTGTACCCAGGGGCCTATGTATCCTTCTGGCTGTGGAGTCATTTTACCCCTTTTGCTTCTGGATGATGCTCAATCCCACCAGGATTCCCCAAAGGACAGAGAAGCAAACCTGGGTGATCAAGGCGCCATTTCATCTTTTACCTGAGTGCTCAGAGTCAGGAGTGATCAGGCCTGATCTTGTCTCTGCTCAGCCTGGGCCAGCCTTAAAGCCCTTTCCTCAAAGGGGATTCCGTATTGAGAAAAGACATGGCAGAGCAGGTTTTCTGCTCCTGCAGAAAGACCTCAGGCAGATCCCTCCAGGCAAGTTTGGAAAGGGGCCAGGGAGCAGGCTTTCTTGGTCTCTGGAGGGCAGGGAGCAACCCTTCATCAAAGCAGCCAAATCGTTGTCTCTCGGGGCAGTGGCGCCCAGCACCCTCCCGAGGCTGGCCATGACAGTGGGCTCCTGGGGATGTTGGCTGAAGGCAGGGGGCAGTTTGGGTTCATGTGCTGAGTCCAATGTGTCCGCCTCTGCAGAACAAACAGGGGAGGACTGACTGCCTGTGCTTCCTTCTCCTTCTGAGCATCGTCTTGCCTCAGTGGCTAGGGGAGGGGTTGTGGGCTGCCTGACCCATGACCAGGGGTTGGGTGTGAGAAGGCAATTAGACACTTTTGCAGCACAAGTCAGGCTGCAGGAGGGTCTTGCCCTCAGGGAATTCTCCTTGCCGTCTCCTCCCTGAGCGTGGCCTCCTCTGTCTCTCAAGTTTCCAGGCCCCTCCCCCTTTTGAAACCCATGCCTCATCTTTCACCCAAAGACCCACACCTTGCTTGGCTGAACCTACTATACTTCCCTGTGGGCAGGAGGCAGGCAGGGAGCTGGGTCTTGCACACTGGGTCTTGTACAGAACCAAGAGGCCATTCGTTGTTGCTGGCTTTGCCACTGACTAGCAGCCCCTGTCAGGGACTGACGAATGAACGTGGGCACCCTGGGTGACAGAGATGGATGGAGATCCCTGCACACGGCCCTGCACGCACGGCCGGTCTGTGTATTCCTCCCCTTGGGATCAGGCGAATCAGATGGCTGCTGATGGAGCCATTACTCAGTCATTTAGTTGTGCTGGGAGGGGGAATGTGAGTTTCACCACTAGGACAATTAGGACCCCTCCCTAGGGGCTGCAGTATTAGGTGGAGGAGTGTGGGGTGGACAGATGAGTCCCACTAGGGGGTGATGAGGATAACAGCCCGTTGGCTCCAATCAGATCGGAGGCACACCTGTTCCTCCCCAGGGCTGGGCTTGGGCAGACACCACTCACAGCCAGCCCTACTGTGGTTAGGCGTGAAGCCAGACCTCACGTGAGGTCCATTTGGGCTTTCTGAGCTCTGGTGCACCAGCCACAGAGAAAGAGAGCCTGGATGCTCTCTTGGCAGCCTGCTGCCTTTGTTTTAAACTAAAAAATCTGCGTCAAGCGCAGCGCTTGGTATGCAGACAATTCCCTGGGAAGAGATTCTTTTACGTTTGTGCAGTAATATATTCTCCATCCCGGGGCCTGTTATTGTACAATAAAACAAGAAGGCTGGGAATCAATGCAGAAATGTGAAAAAAATGCTCTGAATCATTTTCATAACCAGCAAATGTGGTTTTCAGCTGAGAAACATTTTCTTTCCTATTCTGAAATGGTGGGAGCAATTTTCAGGCCTGGGTACTGGGATTGAAACTCTTTGCTGCTTAAAGGTAAATATCACCCAGAGGAGAGACCACACCATACTGGGCCGCGATGAGCTGAACTTGGCTATAATAATCACAGTACGCACTTCAAAAGCATCTATCATGTGCCAGCTCTGTGCTGGGCACTTTCATATTTGAAAGGTGATATGTTTGGACAAGTCAAAACAGGGTTCTTCTGCTCCAGCCCCCCATCATGGAGGAATTCTCTCCACAGCACTCCCCACAATGGACCTAGAGGCTTTCCTTAAGTGCTTGCAGTGAGAGTAACTCCCTAACTCTAAAAAGCTCATGCTATTTTCTGTTAATAGCTCCAAGTATTAAAAAATGCTTCTGACTTCTTGTCTCAGTGGAGTGGGCACGTGCTGAAGTCTCCCTGCTCAGCTTCAATCACATGCAAATAATACAAACATAGATGTCATGCAAGTACAAATATCATTTTGTCTTGTTTCTGATAGGACTGGCCATATTAAAAAAACAGAATAATTTCTATAGGCCAGAAATGAAACAGAGATACTGATGTGTGGGAGTTGAAACTCTGAGATCCACAGTGTACCAAGACTGGAAACAGCCTGTGAGCCAGGAATTCACTCACACATCAATGGGAAAATGTGACTTCTAGTCAAGGAAAAAACCCACCAATAGAAACTTACCCTGAGATGACCCAGGTCTTAGATTTAGCCAGGCAAAGGCTTTAAAGCAGCTTTATAAATATGTTCAAAGGCTTAAAGGAAAATAGTCTTAATGACTCAATAGGGAATCTCAGCAGAGAATGGAACAAAATGGAAACTCTAGAATTGAACACTATAATAATTTAAAATTTAAAAAAATGCACTGGATGGGCTTCGTAGTAGATTAGAGGGGACAGAGAATGAATAAGTAAATTTGAAGATGGGTCACTAGAAATGATCCAATCACAGGAGAGCAGACAGAGAAAAGATTGAAGAAAATGAACAAAGCTTCAGAAATTTATGAGATAAGGTCAAATAGTCTGACATACATGCAATAGAAGTTGCAGAAGGAGAATATGGGTCTGAAATAATAGATTATATATGTCAGAATATTATATATATAATATAGGTCAGAATAATGAGTGAAAATGGGTCAGAAATAATATTTAAAGAAATAAATAGATGAAAATTGGATAAAATAAATATAGACTTACAGTTACAAAAAGTTCAGAGAATTTCAAGAAAGATAAATTCATACCCACCCATATCATACTCAACCTGCTGAAAATAAAGACAAAATCTTGAAGGGAGCCAGAGGAAAAAAAAGACACATTTTATATAGGATAACAATGATAAGGACTACCACTGATTTCTCAGAAACAGTGGAGGCTGAAAAACAAAGGAATAACATATTTGAAGTGATTAAAGAGGAAAAAAAAATCCTGTTAGCCTTGAGAGTTTTACTGTTTGTATTCAGTAAAAACATACTTCAAAAATGAAGGTGAAATAGAGTCATTTTCAGACAAATAGAAGCTAAGAGAATGTGTTGGCAGCAGACCTGCACAGCAAGAACTGCCAAAGGATGTTCTCCAGGTTGAAGAGGAATGCAACCTGATGGAAACCTGCGTCCCCAGGAAGGAAAGAGCAAAACTGCTTTTCTATTGTATTTTTTAAAAAAGACAATTGACAGTTTAAATGAATAATAATAATAATACAAACCATGATTTAAAACATCTGTGGAAAGCAAAAGATAGGCAACAATAGCAGAAAGAATGGAGGGTGTTCATATAATGATATAATTATACCATTGTAAGATTATTTTATTTGTAAACTGGGAAATAGTAAAGGGGACGTATGAAGGATCCTGTGGGAAGTGGGAAGTGAAACAGAGTTGACTGAGGATGTGTATGATGAGCCCAAGTGTATGGTAAATAACTAATAAAAGGAGCTGGAGCTAACAAGCCAATAGAGATGAGAAAATGAAATATTAAGAAATACTTGATTAACCTAAAGGAAGCTGGTGAAGGGGTAAATGAAGAGCAAAGAACAACAGGAAAAAATGAAAAACAAATGGGCAACTTAAATCCAGCCACATCGATAACTACATTAAGTGTGAACAGAAGAAACACCAAGGTTGCAGGATAGCAAATCAAATTTTAAAAATCCATTGTAGGCTGGGTGCGTTGGCTCCCTCCTGTAATCCCAGCACTTTGGGAGATGGATGTGGGTGGATCACAAGGTCAGGAGTTCAAGACCAGCCTGACCAACATGGTGAAATCCCATCTCTACTAAAAATACAAAAATTGTCTGGGTGTGGTGGTGCGTGTCTGTAATCCCAGCTACTCAGGAGGCTGAGGCAGGAGAATCACTTGGACCTGGGAGGCGGAGGTTGCAGTGAGCCACGATTGTGCCACTGCACTCCAGTCTGGGCCACAGAGTGAGACTCCATCTCAAAAAAAAAAAAAAAAAAAAAAAATCCATTGTATTCCTCCATACTGGCATCAAGGATTGGAAAAACGGAAATTTTAAAATACTATTTCAATAGAGTCAATAAAGATAAAATACTTAGGAAGAAACTTATTAAAAGATATACAAGACCTGTACAATGCTGATTTCAAAGCTTTAAATAAATGGAGAAATACATGTTTGTGGATAGGAAGCCCCATTTTATTAAGGTGTTCATTCTCCATATTTATCTATAGATTCAGTGCAATCTTAAGCATCATCCCAGTAGGAGATGAAAAAGCCAGTTTAAAAATCTATGTGGAAATGTAAAGGATCCAGAAGAGGTAAGACAGTTTTGAAAAAATAAGTACAGTATGAATTGCTTAACAATGGGGAGGCATTCTGCAGAATGTGTCGTGAGGTGATTTCGTTGTTGTGTGAGCATGGTTGAGTGAACTTACACAAACCTGGATGGTATCGCTTACTACACATTTGGGCCATAGGGGACAGCCCATTGCTCCCAGACTACAGACCTGTACAGCATGTTACTATAACTGAACACTGTGGGCAATTGTAACACAATGGTAAGTATCTGTGCATCTAGACATAGAAATGGTATAGTGAAAATATGGAATCAAAGATGAGAAATGGTGCACCTGTGCGGGGCACTCATCATGAGTGGAGCTTGCAGGACTGGAAGTTGCTCTGGGTGAGTCATTGAGTGAAGGCCCGGGACATTACTCTACACTACTGTAGACTTTCTTTTTTTTTCTTTTGATTCTTTTTATTTTTGAGACGGAATCTCGCTCTGTTGCCAGGCTGGAGTGCAGTGGCTCGATCTTGGGTTACTGCAACCTCCACCTCCCCGGTTCAAGTGATTCTTCTGCCTCAGACTCCCAAGTAGCTGGGACTACAGGCACGCACCACCACACCTGGCTAATTTTTGTATTTTCGGTAGAGACGGGGTTTCACCATGTTGGCCAGGATGGTCTTGAACTCCTGACCTTGTGATCCTCCCGCCCCAGCCTCCCAAAGTGCTGGGGTTACAGGCATGAGTCACTGCACCTGGCTGACTACTGTAGACTTTCTAAGCACTGTACACTTAGGCTACACTACTTATGACAAATATTTTCCTTTTCTTAGTAATAAATTAACCTTAGCTTACTGTAACATTTTTCTTTGTAAACTTAAAACATTTTTAAACTGTTTGATTCTTTTGCAATAACAGACTAAAACACGAATACCTTGTACAGCTGTGTAAGAACATTTTTTCCTTATATTCTTATTTTAAAAGTGTTTTTCTGTTCAAACATTTATGTATGTATGTATGTATGTCTGCATTTTTGCTTTTTAAACTTTTTTGTTAAGAACTAAGGCACGAACACACACATTACCCTAGGCCTACACAGGGTCAGGGTCTTCAATATCACTGCCCCCCACATCCATGTCTTGTCTCACTGGAAGGTCTTCAGGGCCAGTAACACACATGGAGCCGCCATCTTTCATGATAATAATACCTTCTCTGGAATACCTCTTGTAGGGCCTGCCTGAGACAGTTTTACAGTTAAAATTTTTTTAATAAGCAAAGGAGTACACTCCAAAATAACTATAAAAAGTATAGTATAGGCTGAGTGTGGTGGCTCATGCCTGTAATCCCAGCACTTTGGGAGGCCAAGGCAGGTGGATCACCTGAGGTCAGGAGTTTGAGACCAGCCTGGCCAACATGGCAAAACTCCATCTCTACTAAAAATACAAAAAAAAAAAAAAAAAAAAATTAGCCAGGTATTGTGGCAGGCACCTATAATCCCAGCTACTTGGGAGGCTGAGGCAGGAGAATTGCTTGAAATTGGGAGGCAGAGGTTGCAGTGAGACAAGATCATGCCACTGCACTCCAGCCTGGGTGACAAGATTGAGACTCTGTCTAAAAAAAAAAAAAAAAACAGAAAAAAAAAGTATAGTATAGTAAATACATAAATAGTCATTTATTATCAATATTATATACTGTACATAACTATATGTACTATACTTTTATACAACCGGCAGAGCATAGATGCAGTCTGGTGGATGTTGCCTGAAATGTCATTACGCAGTTCATGACTGTACAAAGAGGAACACATGCTCTCTAATGTCTTAATCTACCAGCTGCAATCATCAAGACAGTGTAGTATTGGTGTAAAGACAGACATAAAAGATCAATGGGATAGAATAGAGACTTCAGTTCATATATATGGTCACATATATATGGTCAATTTATTTCTAACAAGGGCTCTGGGATAATCCAGTAGGGAAAGGTAACTCTTCAACAAATGGTTCTAGAACAACGAGATATTTGTACAGAAAAAAATAAATCTCAACCCCCTACCTCAAACCACAAACAAAATTAATTCAAAATGGATTATAGACCTAAACATAAAAGCTGAAACTATAAAACTTGTAAAGAAAAACAGAAAATCTTCACGACATTAGATTTCTTAGAAAAGACACAATAAGTGCAAACCACCAAAGGAAAAAAATGAATAAATAAACTGGACTGCATATCAAGGAAAACCCTCCACTTTTTAAATACATCATTAATATATGTGACAAAGGGCTTTTTCCAAAATATATAAAGAACACTTACGACTCAACAAGATAAACAATGCATTTCTTTTAATGGCTGAATGACTTGAATAGAGTGCATATCCAAACTAGCCTTAACCTTTTTTTTTTTTTTTTTTTTTTTTTGAGACAGAGTCTTGCTCTGTTGCCCAGGCTGGAGTGCAGTGGCGCGATCTCGGCTCACTGCAAGCTCCGCCTCCCGGATTCATGCCATTCTCCTGCCTCAGCCTCCCAAGTAGCTGGGACTACAGGTGCCCACCACCAAGCCTGGCTAATTTTTTTGTATTTTTAGTAGAGACGGGGTTTCACCATGTTAGCTAGGATGGTCTCGATCTCCTGACCTCGTGATCCGCTTGTCTTGGCCTCTCAAAGTGCTGGGATTACAGGCATGAGACACCGTGCCTGGCCTTTTTTTTTTTTTTTTTTTTTTTTTTAAAGACAGAGTCTTGCTGTGTTGCCCAGGAGTGGCACAATCTCAGCTCACTGCAACCTCTGCCTGCTAGGTTCAAGCGATTCTCCTGCCTCAGCCTCCCTAGTAGCTGGGATTACAGGTGCATGCCACCACACTCAGCTAATTTTTGTATAGCCTTAACCTTCTAATCATACCTAGGGAGCAAAAGCAGGAGGCATATTAAAAGGCACTGGGCTGGGCATCAGGAGCCCCAGCTTCCGTTTCCAGCTCAGTGACTGACTTGCTATGTGACCCTGGGAAAGCCCCTTTCACACTCTGAGCCCCAGAAACCACATCCATAAAAATGGGGAGAACATTATTATTGCCTCGTATGCATTTTATGTGGCCCAAGTGGCACAGGCTATGGAAAGGAGTTCTGGAGTGCACCAGGATTTCTCTAGATGGAAGGCATATTGGTGTTGTTTTTGACCTTTTAGAGATTACAGATGATTGTTACAATAGGGGCACCCAATCTGAATGATCAGATGTAGTGACCTGGTTATCTGAATACCTGACAGTTTACCAGCGACACTCATGTATGCATATAGACACAAACATAAAACAGGAAACACATGGATGTTATAAGTCACAAGAGTCATCCATACAAACACAAAGATATGTGTATCCACAACTGGCCCACACGGGCACATGGAGGCCCACAGGCATACATGTATGCACACACAGAAAAACACAGGTGCATGTGTACACACATGTTCACATGGACACACATGTTCATAGACCCTCACGCTCCCAGAGCCCACATTCAGTGAGCACACGGATGCACACAGATGGGCCCAGTTGCCGCACACACACTCATGAACAGGCAAAGGCATACCCTTGAACATGAAGAACTGGAATACAAAGAGATTTTACCTGGAGAAGCTGTGAGCCCAAGGCAGAGGGAGGAAGGGTATATCCTGCTGAAGGTGAGCAGGTCCAGGACTCCCTGGAAGAGGGGCTTAAGGAAGGGTTAGAGCATCGGAGGCAGAGGGGCTAGGGGCTGGCAGAGCCGGGGAAGCCACCCACAGATGGTACCCTCTTCAGGGAGTAGGATCTGAGGGATTCCTAGGGCAGGCGGGCCTTGGTTGTAGGCCCTGGAGGTAGAACTGAAGACTTCCGTGCAGTTCTGCTCATGGAGTCACCAGCCAGCCACTCCCAGAAAGTAGAGGGGAGGGGCAAGAGATGACTGTAGCCTGGGGCTGGTGGCCCGGGCTAGGCCTCACCGGCTGCCGCTGGAATGAAAAACTCAGTTTTAGCTTCTATGTCGGGATTTGCCAGTGGGTTCATTTCCTGGGTGCAGATTGGTTGAGGGAGACCTTCCTTTATCGATTCCCCTTTACGGTAAAAATGACCTGCAAATGAAGTCAATCTTCCAATCATACGCCAGGACAGAAAGAAGCTGCGAGTATAGACAAGAGCACTGGACTGGGTGTCAAGAGCCAGCACGTGGGGGTGTAAGGTTTGGCTACAGGCTGAGATGAGAAAGCATCTTAAGAGCCAGAAGGTCCAATTCAGACTCTTGGCAGTACGGGAAAGTGCGGCCCAAAGCTGGGATGGCGACCAGCTCTTTGGTCATAGCAGCTCTGTCCACCTAAGATAATCTCAGAGGAAGGCCAGGATATCTCAAGGTCTCATCGTCGGTTGGGCGCCGTGGCTCACGCCTGTAATCCCAGCACTTTGGGAGGCTGAGGCGGGCGGATCACGAGGTCAGGAGATCGAGACCATCCTGGCTAATATGATGAAACCCCGTCTGTACTAAAAATACAAAAAATTAGCCAGGCGTGGTGGTGGGCGCCTGTAGTCCCAGCTACTCGGGAGGCTGAGGCAGGAGAATGGCGTGAACCCGGGAGGTGGAGCTTGCAGTGAGCCAAGATCGCGCCACGGCACTCCAGCCTGGGCGACAGAGCGAGACTCCGTCTCAAAAAAAAAAAAAAAAAAAAAAAAAAAAAGATCTCATCGTCAAGGCTAGTTCCAGACCTTCTCATCAGCTCCTGCAGAATCACCCTCCTGGTCCTCTCCCCCAAGTGAACCCCATGGAGTTGGACCCGTCATTCCCTGAAAAGGCTCCACGGCTGAGACTGAGCCTGGGTCCATTAGCATTCAGCTCAGCAGCTGGGCAGGAAGGAGAACAGTATCAGGGTGGCAGGAAGAAAAGCAGGGCTGGAAGAAAAGGGATAAGGATGAGGAGGAGGTAGAGGGGGTGCAGGTGCTCTTCCAAGCTGTTTGCCCATGGGCTCAGAGGGGCTAAATAATTCACTCATTTTTATCCAGTTAGTGAGAAGCAGGGCCAGGGATTTGAACCCAGGTGTATGTAAGACTCTCAGGAGAGTAGAGATCATTCTACATGGGAAGAGCTGGAAATCTTCCAGGGGAAAAGACTTGCGGAGTTAGTCTGACTGGATTCCATCAGCCCAGTCCTGGCAAGGTGTGCTACAGAGGGGATCTCCGCTCAGAGACTTCTCTGAGCCTGAGTTAGGTGAGGGGAAATGAGGCCCAGAGTTCCAAGAAGGGGACTGGCCTTGAGCTGGGCACACAGACCTGCATGGGACAAGCTCCTTACATGGTGGGTCAGAAGCTGGGGACTCAGGAAAGTGAGAATGTCACAGTGCACAGAGTGTGGAGCAGGGGCAGGCTAATGCAGAGTTCCTTCAATTCCACACTGCAGAAGAAGCTTCCCTGAGAACGCACCATTGCTGGGCTCCTTATATGCCTCACCTCTGACCTTCTCTCTGGAATCTCGCACCATCGCCCTTAAGGCAGCTGTCTTCATCCTCATTCTGCAGATGAGGAAACAGGTTTAGAGAAGTTAAATTCACTTGTCCTTAGTGAACCAGAGTCCAGATTCTCATGGTCCAGTCCAGGGTGCCTTCTCCTGCTGATCACGGCAGGCTTTTATTCCCCGGAGCCTTTGTTAATGGGCTTCCCTGGGCCTGTGACTGCCAAGGCCTGGCAACTTTGACATGTTTTCGTGGGGTTTCCTCTGTGCTGGTCTCTGGATTTTCCAAGTTTCTCATTTGCAGGTCCAGGGGAAGGAGGGTTGCTCCATCTCAGGCCCTAGGAGGTGGTGCTTTGGCAAAGGGGCAAGAGACCCGTGATCTGGCCCCAGCTCTCCCTCAGTCAAGCTATATGACCTTGGAAGAGTCATTTCTCATCTCTGCTCAAGATAATGTCATGCTGTAGATTGAAGGTTTGCCCTGGGAGACCTCTCAGCCATCTCTCATCCTGGACCATCCATCCATCCATTCACCTTCCATCCAACCATTCATCCATCCTCCAATGATCCATGCATCCATCCATCCATCCATCCATCCATTCATCCATCCATCCATCGATTTTCCATCCATTCATCCATCCATTCATCCATCCATCCATCCATCTTCCATCCATTCATCCATCCATTCATCCATCCATCTTCCATCCATTCATCCATCCATCCACCCATCCACCCACTCAGCCAGTCATCTATTCAACTTTTCATCCACCCATCATGCATCCATCTGTCTCTCCATTAATCCTATCAAACCCTGGGTTGAAAAAATAGCATAAATCTGGCCCTTTATAGGACAAAAGGGCCAGAGAGCAATTACTTTATGTTTTCCAGGACACATGGTCTCTGTTGGAACTATTCAACTATGCCTTTGTAGCACAAAAACAGCCAGATAAGAGGTAAACAAATGGGTGTGGCTGCATCCCAATGAAACTTTATTTGCAAAAGCAGGGGACAGGCTGGATTTTGCCCCTGGACTATAGTTTGTGGCCCTTTGCCCTGGATAATTGCTGGGTGCTAGAGACACAGATACAGACACAGTCTAATAGGGGAGGCTTGCATGTGGACCAAAAATGATAGTGCAGTGTGAAAAGTAGAGATGGCTTAAAGGGTGCACAAGGCACAGAAGGAACCCAGAAGGGGACCTGGGGGCCTTAAGTGATTAGGCCGGTGTCAGTGGTTGAAACCTAATCAGGGTTTCGGTGGATGAGGGAAGAGCTCTCCAGGCAGATGGAACAGCATGAGCGAAAACACAGAGGCATGGTAGTACCTGTTGTGTTGGCAAAGACTGTGAGATTTGATGGCTGGAGAATGCAGCAGAAATGAGATCAAGGAGGATTTTAATTACTGTGCTAAGAAGCACGAACTTTTAAGCAAATAATTCTCAGTTATTTAACTCCTCTTCAATGACTAACATTTTTCTTGGAAAGAGTCCACTCCATAACTGCTAATCTCAGTGAGGGGTATTGGATATGCAATTTCTTCTAATTATGTGGAAATACTGGTTGTTTCTTCTCTGTGGGTGCTGAGGCCCTGGGGGCAGTGATGGATGCCTAGGCGGTAGGCAGAGGGGCCTAGGAACTGAGCATGGCTGATTTGCACCACAGTAGAGCCCTGGGCTCTGATTTCACACTCTGCCCCAGGCCAGAGCGATTCTGCCTGTGTCATCATTATGCTCATCAAGAGATGCTTTGTCTTCCCCTGATCAGCCTAATTGCTCCCCTCATTTGGACAGCCCTGGAGTCATTTAGTAATGAAAATCACCGCGTGCTAATATGGCATCAGGAGCTCACCTGCTTCTTGGCATTTGGAGCAGTGTGGAGAGGGGAAGAGGCTCTGCTTGTCATTACAGGTGCAGAGCCTCGCTGAGCTGCTCATGTGCAATTACCGTCCAACAGCCTGGAAATTACAGTCCAGTTACAGTGCCTGCTAACAAGGACTAATTGTACCACAACAGAGCTTCCCTGGACACTTAAAACAAATGGCCACTGTGGGAACTTGGCGATGAATAGAGAAAAATCCCATCTATTCTTGGAACACAGGACAAATATGCTAGGAGTTGGGCAGGGCTCAGCTGGGGGCTCTTGGGCATTAAAACTTGGTTTCCCAATCAATGTAACCAAGCTAGAATTTGATGCAGACATCCATTCATCCATCCGTCTTTTATCCACCCATCCATCCTCCAGTGATCCATCTATCTGTTCATCCACTCATCCATCTTCCATCCATCCACCCATCCATGTATCCATTCATTCATCAATCCATCCATATTCCATCTACCCATCTATCCATCCTCCAATGATCCGTCCATTCACCTTCCACCCAACCATTCATCCAACCTCCAGTGATCCATCCATTCATCCATCTGTCCATCCATCCATCTTCCATCCATCCATCCATTCATCTTCCATCCAACCATTCATCCACCTCCAATGATCCATCCATCCATCCTCCAATGATCCATCCATCCATCCTCCAATGATCCATCCATCCATCCATCCATCCACCCACTCAGCCAGTCATCTATTCAGCTTTTCTTTCTTTTCTTTTCTTTTTTTTTTTTTTTGAGATGGAGTTTCACTCTTGTTGCCCAGGCTGGAGTGCAATGGCACTATCTCCACTCACCACAACCTCCACCTCCCCGGTTCAAGCGATTCTCCTACCTCAGCCTCCCAAGTAGCTGGGACTACAGGCATGCACCACCACACCCATCATGCATTCATCTGTCTCTCTATTCATCCCACAAACTTCCCCCAAACTCTTGCTTAGAAAAAGGTCTATCCTTGATGCTGCAAGTCAGAAATGTATTAGGAGAAATCCTGCATACAAGAAGATGTAATAGGTACTTAAATATTTTTGAACAAGTGAACAAAAGCAGTCAACATTTTCTCAATGGAAGGGAAAAATAGATTTAGTTAAGTGAGAGGGTGAAGAGGGGGGCATAGATGGTGTGAGAATAGAGAAGATATAAAGAGTTGTTCATCACCGTCATACACATAGCTTAAGTGAAAGACAGGAAAGTAAAAGGGAAGGGGATGTGTGTGTGCTCTGTGTTTAAGTGTGGCAAGTTACTTCATTTCTCTTAGTCTCAATTTCCTTTCCCAGACAATGGGGATAAAAATGCTTCCTACCTCATGGGGTTATTATATGGACTACAAAAAATACTGCACATAAAGTTCCTAGAACAATGCCTGGTATGTAGTAAGCAGGCGCTGCCATTCTGCTGCCTACTCCTGGGGACTTGAAGGTTGAGTTAGAGTCCACCCTACCTAGACAGTAAGAAAGACCATCCTAGGAATTGGCAACGTGTAGATGATTGTAACACAGGGGAGGCTTTGGGGGGAGTGTTAATTTTTGCATCTTGTGACTAGAGCCCAGGGAGTGAGGGGCAGTGATGGGGGGAAAAAGCAGGTCAGAGGCCCCATCAGTCCAGAAAGAGCTGAGGATTGGGATTTGCAATGGGGGAGATGGGGAGCCATCAACACATTTTAAGCAAGCAATTTGTTTTTCAAAATTATTACTGTAGGGTGGGAAATTGATTATTGTTCATTAATTATTGCTTTAAGAGGAGATGATTGTGCAAGGAAAACAAATGAGTCCTGGTCATTCAAGGGCAGAGTCTAGATGAGAACTGCTCTAGCGCTCATTCCTGGTTCTAGCTGCCCTGAACTCTGGCCTCTAGGCTCCCTGTTCATTGTTTTCTGGCCTGTAGCTAAGGGGGTATGGAAAGAATGTTAGAGTTATGAGTTCCCCTGCCCTGACAGGATCTGTGTAGGGTCCGTACATCTCCATGTTCTTCCCCTCAATGCATCCCTACTCACGGAACCCTGCTAAGTGGTCATTTCAACTCTCCTCTATACAGCTCTCCTCTATACTACTTCCTGAGCCAGCCTGCTTCTTCTTTGGCCATCTCTGACCCAAAGTCCTTTATCCTATGAAATGTCAACCCATCTCCCCATGGATTCTAATTATTCACTCTCGTTCTGCTCCTGAGTCACTGGGCAGGATAGGTCTCAATGGCAGCCCATGCACCTGACTCATTCTGGGGCTGAGACCCAGGCTCAGTTTGTGGTCAGTGCTCATTGTGGCCACACGGGTGCTTTGGCTGCAGTGGGGCTCATGGTGGAGCATTTCCCAGGAGGGGTGATGGTGGACTGACCCCTCCAGGGTGCCCTGCCTCCTGGGGATCATGCTTTGGTGTAGTCCCTTCCACATGGGCTTTGGGTTTGGCCATGTGATTTGCTTTTTTTTTTGAGATGGAGTCTCACTCTGTCACCCAGGCTGGAGTGCAATGGCACGGTCTCGGCTCACTGCAACCTCTTCCTCCCAGGTTCAAGTGATTCTTCTGCCTCAGCCTCCCGAGTAACTGGAATTACAGGGCCCCCCCCACCACGCCTGGCTAATTATTTGTATTTTTAGTAGAGACGGGGTTTCACTATGTTGGCCAGGCTGGTCTCGAACTCCTGACCTCATGATCTGCCTGCCTCGGCCTCCAAAAAGTGCTGGGATTACAGGCGTGAGCCACAGCACCCAGCCATGACTTGCTTTAACCAACAGAATGTGTTGGAAGCGATGCTATGTCGGCTCAAGACTTAACTTCAGAAGGCCCCTTCCACTTTCACACTCCTTGAAGCCAGCCTCTGTGTGGAGAAGCTTGAGTTGGACTATTGGCAGGAGAGCCATGGGGAGAAAAGCCACCGGGATGGAGGCTGAGAAATCATCTGGGATACCCAAACCTCAATGGAGCTCTGCTGAGTGCAGCCACTCGAGTGACCTCTGCGAAATCATGTGGAGCAGAACTGCCCAGTGGAGCCCACATGCCCTTAGAATCCTGAGAAATAATACATCATGGTCGCTTTTCCACCATCGCGTGTTGGGATGGTTTGAAGGCAGTAATAGAGAACTTCTACTTGGACTCTGAGCAAGTACTTCCTGTCCACTCCTAGCACAAAGAAAGGTGCCAGCTATAGCCATTGAGTCTGAGTTTCAAGCCAGACTTGTGGCACTCACTCCTACATGGTCCTAGGCATGTCCTACTTGGGACTCAGTTTCTCCATCTGTAAAGTGGAGAGATTGTAAATTCCATGATCTTATCTCTTTTAGCTGTTCTTTGATGAAGCTGAAGGACTCTAGATGAAGCATGACCCCCCACTCTGAGCAGGGGCTCCTTCTGCAGGTGTGTGTCAGCTTAGGGGATGTTTCTCATGCCCATAGCCTCACTGACAGCAGAATAACCTAGGGCCAGTCTTTCTGGCTGATCCACTTGGAATCACACACTTCCATTCCAGGTTGTGCCAAACTCAACCTGATGTTCCTTGTGGTCCCTGGAACGGGGCTGCCTGCTGGGGTGTTGACTAACTGGGCGTGTCAAACTTGGGACCCTCTTCCTCTGTTTCCTTGTTCCTCATTAGGTTCCTCATTGGCTACAAATGATTCACTTAGAAGGCAATGGGAACTGGCAGTGATGTTTGGAGCATTTCTTCCTTGATCAATTAACGGCCTTCTCCCTATTTTATTTATGTATTATTATTATTTTTAGATGGAGTCTCATTCTGTTGCCCAGGCTGGAGTGCAGTGGTGCGATCTCGGCTCACTGTAACCTCCGCCTCCTGTATTCAAATAATTCTCCTGCCTCAGCCTCCTGAGTAGCTGGGATTACAGGCGCATGCCACCACGTCCGGCTAATTTTTTTGTATTTTAGTAGAGATGGGGTTTCACCCTGTTGCCCAGTCTGGTCGTGAACTCCTGAGATCAGGCAATCCGCCTGCCTTGGCCACCCAAAGTGCTGGGATTACAGGCGTAAGCCACTGAGCCTGGCCCTCCCTATATTATTATGATATCAGCAAAAATAAAATTATGAGGTTTATGCAAATCATATTTGTATGATCACGTCTGAGAGCCTTTGGATCAAATTTTCTAGCCAATTTCTCTAAATGCGAGCTTTTAAACTTTTCCTTTATTGTTGACAGAAGATGCTTTTAGAGATTGCACTGTGTCAACTTCAGAGACAACCAGAAGGTTGGGAGGGAAGGAAAAGGCACCCTGTAAGGGATGACGGAGGGGCTGGGACTCAAACTGGAGAAGAGAGGTGAGGCCCAGGCTCCATGTGCGGAATTCATCCGGGCTCTCTCTGGGTCAAGGAAGCAGGTGTCACTGGTTGACACAAACAACTGGCAAACAGAGGCCAACACGGTCAGGCAGAACTTTCTAGAAGTCTGAAGTGTCCAGAGAGGGAGCAGGCTGCCTTTGGAGGGTGTGTGACCCCAAGAGAAGAGGACTCTGAGATTCAGGGAGGGGCAGCATCTTCCCAAGATCACCCAGCTGGTCAGTTGAAGTTCTGGGACCAATGGCTAGAACTGGAAGCTGACACAGTCCCAGAGCCCGAGAAAGGGACAGAGATGCGTCTGTTCCAGCCAGCAGTTGCCCTTCCCACTCGAAGCCTTCAGTGTTGGGCAAGGTGGTGGTCAAGACTCCCTTTCCCTCAATGGTGAGAGGACATGGCCAGGGTTTCAGTGGAAGCCTTTCTTGACTGCTGAGAATCTGATGAACCTCTTCAATATTTATTTTTCCGATAGAACTGAACAATTCTGAAGAGACACAATATTACATTTCTTAGAAGCTTCCCCAATTGCATAGTTATCAGGGAAACCTGAATAAACTAACAAGAGCTTAGACCTATTTATTTTTGTATTCAGTCATCTCTGAGGTGTGGGTTATGCCAGTGTGAACAAGAAGAGACAGTAATTAGATTGTGCTTAGACTGATTCTCCTGCTCCAGGAATGGGAATAGGGCCGGGCTGCCCCAGCTCTGTGGTCTTCCATGCTCATGGTGCTGGTCCTTCAAGTTTATACCTCTGGGATCATTGGTTTCCAAACATGGCTGCATGTGGAATCATCTGGGAAGTTTTTTTTTTTTTTTTTTTTTTTTTAAACTGATGCCTGTATTCCACCTGCCGAGGTTCTGATTTAATTTATCTGGGAACAGCATTGGCATTGGGACTTTTACAAGCTCCCTAGGTGATCCGCTGTGCAGCAGAGATTGAGAATTCTTAATTTAGACTTTGAACCTGCTGGGGCAAGCTACGTTCATGGGTCATCCTTCCTCCTTCCCTAGGTTTTTTTTTTTTTTTTTTTTTTTTTGAGACGGAGTCTCACACTGTCACCCAGGCTGGAGTGCAGTGGCACAGTCTCGGCTCACTGCAAAGTCTGCCTCCCAGGTTCAAGCGATTCTCCTGCCTCAGCCTCCCGAGTGGCTGGGCTTACAGGTACCTGCCACCACGCCTGGCTAATTTTTGTATTTTTAGTAGAGACAGGATTTCACTATGTTGGCCAGGCTGGTCCCTAACTCCTGACCTCGTGATCCGCCCACCTCAGCCTCCCAAAGTGCTGGAACTGTAGGCGCACGCCACCACGCCCAGGAGAATCGCTTGAACCCGGGAGGCAGAGGTTGCAGTGAGCCAAGATCGTGCCACTGCACTCCAACCTGGTGACAGAGCGAGACTCCGTCTCAAAAAAAAAAAAAAGAGAAATAGTTGGGTTGTCTTCAGTCAAATACATTGATAAGCCATAATGACTGGTTGTTTCTTAAATCACATGTTGTTTGAATTTAACTGGGCTAACTTGCCCCCCTCAAATAGGTTTGCATGCTTAGAACTGGGCCCACTCTGACATGGGACAAAAATTGCTGGTGTGTGAACATTCCCATTCTCATTCCCTTCCGCCTCTAAATGAAAATAATTTATTCTTTGCCTGTTCAGTTCCCCAGCAACCCTTTCCAGCCTTCTAGACGGGGTTCCACCTTTGCCAGCTCAGACCCTCAGCTTTTATAATGCAGAGCTGGATAGAAAGGCTGGGGACTGAGGAAGGGCGGTCAGGAGATTTGCATTGGAAAGAAGAGAGCTGTTCCGAGAGAAAAGATTAAAAGGGAAGAGAAAGAGGGTGGGGAGGAAAGAAAATAGGGAAAATTTTAAATTGGGACTGAGGGTGGAGAAAAGGAAAAGATATTTGAGGAATGTCTGCCAGATGTGTGTGTATTGAGAGTGGCAAAAGGAGAAGAAATATTTATATTTTGCTATGCATTGAGAATGTACCCTGTCCTCCCTATATACACGGGCACAATTTCCCTGTAGAGGCTTCCCCAGAGGTGTACATAAATTACAATTGCTTTCAGCTATATTTTGCTGTCAGACTACAGATTCCTTGAATTGATCCTGCACAGGGACTGGTCCATTTGGGCCTCCAGTTATATTTGGAATATGCTGATAAGCCAGGGTTGTGTGGAAATGGCAGCAGGTGTGAGCTGGGAAACCCTTCACCACCTGGTGGAGGCATTTCACAGACTCATGAGCTCTCAGAGTGGGAAGAGATCTTAAAAATGGGGGCCTTCAAAATGGTCTAATGTGCCCGGGCGCGGTGGCTCACGCCTGTAATACCAGCATTTTGGGAGGCCAAGGCAGGTGGATCACCTGATGTCAGGAGTTTGAGACCAGCCTGGCCGACATAGTGAAACCCTGTCTCTACTGAAAAATACGAAAATTAGCTGGGTGTGGTGGTACGTGCCTGTAGTCCCAGCTACTCAGGAGGCTGAGGCAGGAGAATCGCTTGAACCCGGGAGGCAGAGGTTGCAGTGAACTGAGATGTCACCACTGCACTCCAGACTGGGCAACAGAGTGAGACTCTGTCTCAAAAATTTAAAAAAGTCTAATTCCCCCTCCCATTTTGAAATTGATTTTCTAGAGCCCCCCGACCAAGTTCATTCTCTGCTTAAAGACTTCCTATGAAAGGGAATGCATGACTTTCAGAGAAAACTCACTACAACCGTGTATAGACCTAGCAGTTAGAAGTCTGTCTGTGTTCTCAAATGCTATTATCGGTGATGTGAATTATCACAGCCTCATTGAACTTCGCTCTGGCGAGTCCTGGCACAGTTTAAATTATTCTTCTCCTTCGAATCAGCAATTCTGCTTCTAGGAAGTCTGCGTCACTCACACACATACACAAAGATGCATGTCCACGGATGTTTAGATTGAAGCATTACTTGAGAGAGTGAAAATGTGAAGCCAGTTCAATGTATATCTACAGAGGATTGCCAGTAAAACCACAGTAGATATCAGTTGTGGAATAATGGATATGCCTGTCCTAATATGGAAAGATTTCCAAGATATAGTAAGGGAAGAAGTAAGTTGCAAATGATAAGTTAGGAAAGAGTGTGTTAAGACCCCACAGACTTCATACCTATACCTGCATATGAATTAAAGATATGAAGACATATAGAAAAACAACGTAATAAAATTGATAATAATCAGTCAAATCAAAACCGCAAGATACCACTGTGCATCGATCAGAATGGCTATTACTTAAAACACGGCAAATCACAGGTGTTGGTGAGGATGTGGAGAAATCATTCATGGCTGGTAGAAATGCTACATGGTGCTTTGGAAAAGCCACTTTGGAAAATTGGCAGTCCCTCAAAATGTTAAACATGGAGTCACTGCGTGACCCAGCAATTCCACTCCTAGGTATGTTCTCAGGCAACATAAAAACTACATCTAGCAACATGTTTGACGATAGCCAAAAAGTGGAAGCAACTCAAATGTCCATCAGTTGATGGGTCTGTGAATAAAACAGTTCCATCTATAAAGGGGAATATTATTCGGCGATAAAAAGGATTAAAATACTGATGCATGCTACCACATGGATGAACTTTGAAAACATTATCCTAAGTCAAAGAAGCCAGTCACAAAAGATCACATATTGTATAATTCTGTTTATTTATTTATTTATTTTTGAGACGGAGTCTCACTCTGTCGCCCGGGCTGGAGTGTGGTGGTGCAATCTCGGCTCACTGCAAGCTCCGCCTCCTGGGTTCACGCCATTCTCCTGCCTCAGCCTCCCGAGTAGCTGGGACTACAGGCGCCCACCACCACGCCCGGCTAATTTTTTGTATTTTTAGTAGAGATGGGGTTTCACCGTGTTAGCCAGGATGGTCTCGATCTCCTGACCTCGTGATCCACCCGCCTCGGCCTCCCAAAGTGCTGGGATTACAGGCTGAGCCACCTCGCCCGGCCTGTATAATTCGTTTATATGAAAAGTCCAGGATGTGCACTTCTGTAGAGACAGGAATTAGATTAGGGTTGCTTAGGGCTAGAGGAGAGAGGGGTCTGAGAGTGAGGCTGATGGGCATGGGTTTTTTCTCTAGGGTGATGAAAACATTCGATAGCCTGTAATGATGGTTGCATAATTCTGTGAATATACTGAAAACCACTGACCTGTGTGCGCATTAAATGGATGGACCGTATGGCTGTCTGTGAAATATATCTCCATAAACTGTTTTTTAAAAAATGCTAATTGTGTTTGCATTTTGTGTGTGGGGGGTGGAGTGTTGCGTTAGGAGGGAGGAGTGAAGGACTTGCCTTGTCCTGGTGATTTGTTTCAGGTGACAAAGCATGATGACGATTCATAGGCATTCCAGGGAGGCATTTGAGGCAGAGGGCTGCTGGCTACCCAGCCACACAGCTTTGACAAAGCCACACATCGAGTCTCTACCTTCTTTGCCTCTGGGGCCAGTGGCTGTCCCTCCATGGGCAATCAGTGGCCCAGGGGTGGCAGTGCTTATGCAGGGTGACTCATACCACTTTTCCTGGGCGCCTTTCCTGACTGGTGGTTTCTCCTGGGCTCTCATAAGCCCTCGGGTGACTCAGGGCAGAGAATGAGCTCTTTGGCCTGCCCACTTCTGGGGATCCCTCGTGCCAGGGAGGACTGTGAGAAGGGGAGGCTGCCGGGCTCAGCAGGGATTCAGCTGACAGAAAGAAGACTGTCAGAGAAGATGCTAAGTCTGCCTGGATGACAGAGCCGACCCCAGAGAGGCTGGATTGACGTCCCCCCCCCCCACCTTACTGCAAACAGAGGCAGAGACTGGAGCCAAGGTTGAGTGAGGCAGGGCCAATGGCCAAAAGGGGTCAGCACACCTGGGGCCTTCAGTTGGCAGGAGCCCTGTGCAAATCTCCACAGCCCTCCACCCACAGGAACCCAGGCCCACCCAGGCTCATCGGCCTGACACAGAACGGCAGAACGCATAGCACAGCACCCTAGCACGTGGCACCCAGAAAACACACTTGACGTGCACTCGATACAAGCAAAGCACAAAGATACCACAGGGCACACCCAAAGCCACAACACCTGTCACCCAGGCACTTGCATCACACAACAAATGCACATAGACCGCAGAGACACAGAAGCACATGTACAAATAGAACGGCGCCCTCCCCCTTGCCAAGACATCACATGGCACAAGAAACAAATGGACCAACACAAGGGAAGGTCCCTGACAGTTTGTCCATTGGCCCTCAGAGGCCGATCTGGAGCAGCTGAGACACCCTTTTCAATCCCCCAGTCTGGCTTGGGTGCCTTCCTCTCTGTCACCTCTCTCTGTCCCTCCTCTTCTTGCAACAAGTCCACTAGGCCTCTCTAGCACATGGTAGAGAATGTGCTACCACCACACCAGGACTGTTGGCTAACTTGTTTGCTTTCCTCTCTTTCCTATCCATTGGATATAAGGTTCTTTTTTTTGTTTGTTTGTTTTTTGAGACAGAGTCTCAGAGTGCAGTGGAGCCATCTTGGGTCACTGCACCCTCCGCCTCCCAGGTTCAACCAATTCTCCTGTCTCAGCCTCCCAAGTAGCTGGGACTACAGAAACAAGCCACCATGCCTGGTGAATTTTTGTATTTTTGGTAGAGATGGGGTTTCACTATATTGGTCAGGCTGGCTCAGACTCCTTTACCTCAGGTGATCGATCCACTCGGCCTCCCAAAATGCTGGGATTACAGGCGTGAGTCACCGCGCCCAGCCACATATAAGGTTCTTGAAGGTAGAGTCTGTGTTCTATGTATCTCTGAGTCTCTGGCACTTTGCAGTGTCTGGGGTATAGGACAGGGTTAGTGTATAACGAATGAATAAATGGATCAAGCTATCCAAATGTGTGTATATTTACAAAAGGAAATGTTCAACCTTCATCACTATCAAAGAAATGCAAATTAAAATGAGATGCAATTTTACACCTATTAAATTAACACAAATTAAGAAATATAATTATGACACCCAGGACTAACACAGTCATGGTCTAGGCATGGCACCCATACATTGCCGGTGGCAGTGTGTAAATTGGGTGCAGCCCCTTTGGAAAACAGTTTGATTGTATGTATCAAGAGTCATTAAAAGGCTGACAGCCTTTGGTGCAGTGATCGCACCCCTAGGAATTTATCCAAAGGTAATTACCAAAAACAAGAAGGACATTTGCTGATGGTCGTTGGAAGTGTCATTTGCCATCACACAAGGCCTTGATTTCAGAACCCAAAATTGGGATACACATTCTGACGCATTGAACTTGAGGATAGCTGGGAAGAATAGCTGCAGAGAACTGGGAACAGGGGCTGACCATGACTGAATTGGGGACGGCAAAGATAGGGAAGTACATTTCCTGACGTCAGGGCTCTGGCAGGCATTGTTCACTCCTGTATCCTCGGCTCCTAGTGGAGTATCTGGTACACAGTAGGGTTAAGTGATATATACCTTAATATATTTAATCATGATATATGTTTTTATTTATTTAGCTAGCACAGATATACATACACTCTGAATAGGATGCTCTGTGGCCATTAAAGTTCATTAATATGCAAACGTGTTTAAGATACAATGTTGTAAAGAATTGATATTTCTTATTCTGCATAAAAAGGATTTATGTGAAGGGAAACGGAGGTGAAGAGAGGTCAAGCGACTTGCTCATGCCACACAGCCCTGAGTGGGGCAACCCTGGCCCAAACCCCAGTCTGTTGGACTTAACCACTGGTCTTTGCTGTCTTCAGAACACCCTGAGTTATTCTACTCTGAGGGCCTGAGCTCTAAGGGTCCTGGGTCCTGAAGTCCTGAGGTCCTGAGGTCCTGAGTTCTGAGATCCTGAGGTCTTGAGGTCTTGAGATCCTGAGGTCTTGCGGTCCTGGATCCTGAGATCTTGAGGTCCTGAGGTACTGGGTCCTGAGATCCTGAGGTCCTGAGGTCCTGGGTCCTGAGGTCCTGAGATCCTGAAGTCCTGGGTCCTGAGATCCTGAG
The DNA here is from genome assembly GCF_000001405.40 of Homo sapiens. Classification (NCBI taxonomy): domain Eukaryota; kingdom Metazoa; phylum Chordata; class Mammalia; order Primates; family Hominidae; genus Homo; species Homo sapiens. Next base: position 5,924,582 of record NC_000017.11, read on the forward strand.
GTCTTGAGGTCCTGGGTCCTCAGGCCCTGAGTTCTTGAAGTTCTGAGGTCCTGAGGTCTTGAGGTCCCAAAGTCCTGAGATCTTGAGGTCCTGGGTCCTGGATCCTGAGGTTCTGAAGTCCTGTGTTCTGAGGGTCCCATGGCCTGAGGTCCTGAGATCCTGAGATCCTTAGATCCTGTGGTCATGGGTCCTGAGTCCTGAGGTGAAAAGCACTGTTGGGGTGTCTGCTGGAGAAGAGATATTTTCCCATGAGAGTTCCCTTCCTTTGCGAATCCTTAATAATCCGAGCTCCTTTGTAGACATAAACACACTAGCCTTTCTTAATGATGTATGCATTTCATTGTGATGGGTAAGGTACAGATTTACTTTTGAAAGGTGAATAAATTTGCTTTTTGTTTTTTCAAGTATGCATTTTCTCAGAGAAAAGATGCTAAAAGGTTGACTACAATTTTGCAAGCGTCCAAGGGATTTTTTGTTGGTACAATAAAATCCTCACGGTGAAAATGTAGAGAATGCAGATTGAGTGCACTGAACCCAAGGGTGCAGGGGCTGGGGTTACAAGGAGGGAGCAGGAATGTCCCAAGGGGACCCTTCCATGCAGGGTGAGATACTGGGGTCCCGGTCCTGGGACCAGAGAGCTTCTCCTGGCTGACTGTCCCTCTTGCCTGGAGTCCCGCAGGTGCTGGTGGGGAGAGTTGGAAAGGCACTCCCATTAGACCTGATTTTCTGTTTTCTGCTTCTGTCAGTGTCTCTGAGGGAGACTTACCTAGGGCTAGTGGGGCTTTGGACTTAAGAGAGTTTTGCTTCTGATTTGGGAAGAAAGCAGGACTCTCCCTTCTCCCTAAGCCCACCTCATGACCACAGAGTCTCATAGAGTTGTGGAGGAGAGGGTCCTGGGCACGCTGACTCCTGATACTGGGAGATGTGAGTCATGCCCCACCTCGCTTGAATCAATGTCTTTTTTTAGAATTTAAAATATTAAAAAAACTTGGAAATAATTTTAGATTTACAACAAGGTTTCAAAAATAGTACTGAGTCCCTTTGTACCTTTACCCAGCTTCTCCAAGTGTTATCGTCTTCCATACTCACAGTATCATGATCACGACCAGGAATTTAGCATCGATATGATAATCTAACTAATCTGTTCATATTTTGCCAATTGCCTACATTGTGTTTCGTTGTCAAAGTTTCTTGTTTCCTTCAGTCTGAGATAGTCCTCAGTCTATCTTTTATGGTTTGGAAACTTTTGAAGAATACTGGCCATCTGTTCGGCAGGCTGTCTCCTCACTGTGGTTTGCCTGATGTTTGCTCACGATTACATTGAGGATTGCCTTTTTGCAAGAATCCTGCAGAAGTGATGCTGTGTCCTCAGTATAGCCTATCAGGAGACACGCAAAGTCAGTTCATCTTGGTTAAAGTGGTGTCCGCCTGGTTTTTACACTCGTCTCTACTCTCTCTTTTTTTCCTTTGAGACAGGGTTTTGCTCTGTTGCCCAGGCTGGGGTGCAGTGGCACAATTACCATCACCACGTGCTTTAGCCTTGACCTTTCAGACTCAAGTGATCCTCCCACCTCAGCCTCCCAAGCAGCTGAGATTACAGGAACATGCCACCATGCCTGGCTAATTTTTTATTTTTTGTAGAGACGGGGTAACCCTAGGTTGCTTGAGCTTGTCTTGAACTCCTGGGCTCAAGTGATTCTCCCAGCTCAGTCTCACAAAATGCTGGGATTACAGGTGTGAGCCACCTCACCCGGCCTCTTCCTTTCTTTACCTGTGTAATCCCTCTTCACTGGCTGGGCGCGCAGTGGCTCACGCCTGTAATCTCAGTACTTTGGGAGGCTGAGGCAGGTGGATCACCAGGTCAGGAGTTCAAGACCAGCCTGGCCAAGATAGTGAAACCCCGTCTCTACTAAAAATACAAAAATTAGCTGGGCATGGTGGTGGGCACCTGTAATCCCAGCTACTAGGGAGGCTGAGGCAGAGAATTACTTGAACCCGGGAGGCGGAGGTTGCAGTGAGCCGAGACCGTGTCACTGCACTCCAGCCTGGGCAACAAAGCGAGACTCTATTTCAAAACAAAAACAAAAACAAAAAAGACTTTCAGCTCCCCTTGTTTATCCTCACTTTATAGTGGGTGGCACAGAGTCTCAGAAAGGTGAGGAAAGCTGCCCAAGGTCACACAGCCAGGACATGGTCTGCTCCCAAGTCCATGTTTTTCCCTCGTTCTCCAAGATCAAGTCTTGCTCAAAGTCACTGAGAATTTCACTCTGCTGGGACACAAGCCCAAACTCCTGTGCCACCTCCCTGGAGAGTTGGGAACCAAGGAAATAATGAACATAAAATGTATATAGCGCTTTATAATTGACAAGACTGTCCATCTTTATGGCAGACACCTGAGTCAGGTGGCGCTATCTTCATTTCGTAGAAGATGAAGCTGAGGGTGAGGGAGTTTGTGTGTCCTGCTCAAAGTCTCAGCCTGTTTGTGGCAGACCTGCAATTTTAACCCATGTTGTTCCACTCCAACCCCAACCCTTGACTATGTAGATGCCTCCTTTTTCTCCACCTGGATAGGAGAGTGCTGGTTCCTGGGCAGGGTGAGGGGTGCTGAGCCCATGAGGGAGAGGATGCTCATCTCTTTTAGAATAACCAAGATCTCTCTGAGTATTACCTATATCCACAGGCGGTGTCTTACAGGTGATTTGCATGCTTCATAAAAACATAATTTATAGGAATGATAAAATTTTATGTGATTTATAAGACCCGTTAAATGTATGAGGGACCCAGCGGGGCTCATGGATCCCTCTGCTGTCTCTGATTTGGCCAATCAGCAGTTGGCCCTTTAGGAAAGGCTGGCCTGAGTGTTGTCCTGGGCTTGGTGTGGCGGTCCCAGCCTCATGTTGATGAACCAGACAAAGTTCCAGGGATCTGGGGGAGGAAGGGAGACAAGAGGAGGACCCACAGAATCACAAGGCCAGGGTGTGTCTTAGTTGCGAACCCTGCAGCGTTGTAGAAGGCCTCCTGGAGGCAGTGGCACTGCCGAGAAATTGTGACATTGGACAGGATTTAAGCAGAGGAAGGTTGGAGTTGCGTGGCCGTCCCAGTGTTTGCAGGGGTGGGAATGGAGTGTGGGTCTCTAGATTGGGGAAAGGAAGGAAGGCTGGCGTTCTGACAGTTCTTCCTTCTCAGGGAATTGAAGCCTTAGGCAGGGCTGGTCAGAAGCTCAGTGCCTGCCTAGGACACAGAATTTGAAGACAGGAAGGAATCCGGAAATCCTTGTTATCTGTGGCTGGCATGTGCCATAAGACTTCCCCTCATCAGCACCGTAGCCCCCCATATCTGGTAGCAGGAGGAAGGGGATTCTGGTTGAGGAAGAGGGAAGCAGATTAGGCCTTGCGACTGCCTCCCGTGGCCCTGAGCATTGTGTTATGAGGAATGCTCCATTTGTAAAGGGAAGGGGGGTGCAGGTCTACACCCACAGAAGGTGGACTGGGGTCATATACCAGAATCTTTCTACAGGCAGATAATGGGACTAGCCCTCTCTCAGCCTTGCAGATAAAAGGTTATGGAATCTTTTGACAATAAAAGAGAGAGAGACAGAAGGTCAAGCACCCTGTGACTCTCCGGCGGAAGCAGGAAGAGACAAGGTCGTTGCCTTTCCAGCATGTTCTCTTGGTTTTCAGGCAAAATCTTTTAGGTCCACCCTACCTGTTCAGAAGCCTGAGCAGCAGGCTGGAGCCCTTTCTTCCTGTGTCCCCATATAGACACTCATTTGCGACACTGCTCCCCAGTATATGTCACAGACCCTCAAACCTACACGTCCATAATGAGCTCATCACCTTCACCTGAGCCTGCTCCTGTCCTGGGCTCTCAGCTCAGAGGTGACCTCGCTGGCCCCTAAGCCAGAAACAGAGGCATTTTTCTCTGTCTCCCTTGTCCCTCACCCCCATATTCAATCACCAAGCCCTGCCCTTTTGCCCCTCAAAAATCTCTGGAATTTCCCCACCCACTTTTCTATCCACCGTCACTAGCAAAGACATCATGTCTTACCTTGGCCCTTGCATGGCCTAACAGCCTCCCTGTGAGGCCATGGTCGCTCTACTAGACAATCCTTCACACTGCCCAGCAGCAATCTTTCCCACTCACATCTGGCCCCATGTCTCTCGCTTGCATAAAACTCTTCACTTGCTCCCTGGTCACCTATGGCATCAAGTCCTAGGCCTTGGGCCTGGCATTCAAGGCCTTTCAGACATGGCTCTGCTGCTTTTTGCAGTATATTCTCCAGCAGTCATCCCCAGTTGCCTGTTCTATGCCAATGTCACATGTATTTGCCTGAGAACCCCATGTTGTTTCGCTCCCTTTGGCTTTTCCAAATGTAATTGACTCTCCCTAGACATGACATCCCAATATGTCTCTCTGGAAAACTCCTATTCATCCTTCAAAACCAACTCTTGTGACACTGCCTCTCTGAAGTACGCCCTGACTTGCTTCACACCATTCTGCCCTCTCTACTGTCTGTGCATTAGCACGTGTTGTACCCCACTGTGATTATTTGTTTGCACATCCATTCCCATGGTAGTCTGTGACGTCCTTAAGGGCAGAGGCCAAATCTCTCTCTTTTCCTCTTTCCTCCCTTCCCTCCTTTCTGTCCTTCCTCTCCTCCTTCCTTCTCTCTTCTCCCCCCTTCTCTTTTTCTTCCTCCCCCTCCGCCAGTCTTAACCTTCCAGCCGTCAGCTCTTTCCTGAGTGCCAACCGACATGCCAGCTCTGCTCTAAAGTTTGCGCATTCTCACAGAGGTGTTGTCCTTGACAAGGCCCCACATCAATAAATTCCACGGTCCCCTTGGGATGTGAACTGTAACTAGGAGTCGTAGCCAGACAATCTCACAGAAGACGTGCCCTGAAGAAAGCAGAGTAGCGTATTGCACCTAGAGCAAGCGTCAGGTGGAGAGGGGTGGGGTGGAGGAGGTCTCTGCTGAAGAGGAGCCATTTGGGCCTGAACAACAAGAGGGATTTGGCTGTGCAAGGAGAGCAAGAGAGAGAACTGCTTGTTCAAAGGCCTTGCGGTGGGGATGAGCTTGGTGCATGGAAAGAGTAGGCTGGCGAGGCCCAAGAGAAGTGAGCAGGGGAGGTAGGCACAGCCTTGGGAGGTGAGGGCACAGGTCATTCCTAAATCCCTGCCTGTGTCTTGTAATCCCCCAGCTACATTGAGATCCCAGAACCAGAGCCACTAGCAATCTCACCCTAAGAGGAAGAGAAGGAGAGCCAGGCATGGCTGTCTGCAGTGTGCCTCTCACGGATACTTCTTTTACCTGGCGGACAGCCCAGCGCCTAGTTGTCTGACCCGTGATCAAGATGTCCTTCACACGGAAAACTTGTTTATTCTGACAAATGCCTTGGTGGTTGCTGTGTCCAGTGAATGCCTGCCTGACCATCGCTCGGAGCTGGGAGCTTGTGTTATCCACTGCGTCCCGGGGAAAACCTGCTGGGGCAGCCCCCGGTTCTTCCTTTCTTCTCTGCAACTGGGGTTCTCTGTGTTCAGGGATTACCCAAACCACGGCTTTCTTTGGAGACCAGTGATGGCAAAGCGTTCTCTTCTGCTCCTGCCAAGTCGCCCTCACTCAGCTCAAGGCCTCTGGCATTCCTTGGAGACTTCTGCTCACTGCTGTTGGAGGAAGATGCTGATTCAGGCCAGATTCCATCTTGGGGTGCGTGCCCTTGGTCTTCCTCTGCCCCACACGCTCCTTCCGCAGCTCTGTGCATGGTTGCTCCTGCCTGTCATTCAGGCTTTGGCTCAGACAGCACTTACTCAAGAGAACTTTTTTGGTAGACGCATAGCTTTTAAATTTTTTTTAAATTTTTTAATTTTTTAAACGTAGTATTTTGATTCAGGGGATACATGTGCATGTTCGTCACAGGGTATATTGTGTGATGCTGAGGTTTTGGCTTCTATTGATCCTGTCACCCAAAGAGTGAACATAGTCCCCAGCAGGAAATTTTTTAACCCTTGCCCCCATCCCTCCCTCTCCCCTTTTGGAGTCTCCTGTATCTGTTATTCCCATCTTTATGTCATGTGTACTCAATGTTTAGCTCCCAATTATAAGTGAGAATTTGTGGGATTTGGTTTTCTGTTTCTGTGTTAATTTGCTTAGGATAATGGCCTCCAGCTGCATCCATGTTGTTGCAAAGGACATGATTTCATTCTTTTTCATGGCTGCATAGTATTCCATCGTGTATATGTACCACATTTTCTTTATCCAGTCCACTGTCAATGGGCACCTGGGCTGATTCCACATCTTTGCTATTGTAATGAGTGCTGCAATGAATATCAGCATGCAGGTGAGGAGACCTTCTTGATTGCCTTTTCTTTTTCCTTCTTTTTTTTTTTTTGAGATGGAATCTCACTCTGTAGCCCAGGCTGAAGTGCAGTGGTACAATCTTGGCTCACTGCAACCTCCACCTCCTGAGTTCAAGTGATTCTCCTGACTCAGCCGCCCGAGTAGCTGGGATTATAGGCACACACCACCACGCCTGGCTAATTTTTGTATTTTTAGTAGAGATGGGGTTTCACTGTGTTGTCCAGGCTGGTCTTGAACTCCTGGCCTCAAGTGATCTGCCTGCCTCGGCTTCCCAAAGTGCTGGGATTACAGGCACCTGCCACCATGCCCAGCTAATTTTTGTATTTTTAGTAGAGATAGGATTTCACCATGTTGGCTAGGCTGGTCTTGAACTCCTGACCTCAAATGATCCTCCCACCTCAGCCATCCGAAGTGCTGGGATTACAGGTGTGGGCCTTTTCTGAGCGGTGCTCTCGATACTCTTTATCCCCTTGCCTTGTGTTATTTTCCTCCCTGACTCTTCCATCCATGCTTGGGGGATCCACCATTAAAATGCAGACTCCTTGAGGGCAGAGACGTGTCTCTTCCGTTTACCCCTATTACTTATCTCCAGCACCCAGAACAGTGTCCAGCGCATAGCAGTGATCCGTAAACATTTTCTGAGTGAATCTGATGTTTTCCTTTTTTTCCCCCTTTTTAGTGATTAATATGCATGGAATCCTCATCAAAGAGCAGATTGTGTCAAATCCACAGAGTGTGTGACTCTTGCATGGCTCAGAACTCATTATCTTCCAGCAGCAAGTTGAGAGATTCTTGGACAGAGATTTAAACAAACGCTCACGTTGCCGCTTTGACCCAGCTAACCTTCCGGCGAGTTCAGAGTCATAAACCATTATTGTCTCTGCAGGCGGGGAGTACTGCGGGCGCCTCTTGGCACCTGGTGCCTCCGTCTGAATTAGTAGCTCATTCTCTCCATCTGATGCTGGGCCAGGAATGAGAGAGTTTACACTTCCCTGTGTGAGCCTGCTCTTGGCATCTTTAATGGTGTTCTGTGACCAAAGAGACACACTCAGGGTCAGATAATCTGAAGGCATTTGTTGATTTGGTTTTAGAGCCCAGAAAAACCAGTGAATGAAAAAGACAGGCCCAGGGTGGTGTGTGGGCCAGCTGGCAGGGCCCGGACCATTGCCCAGGACCCGACTCCTCACCTGGTGTTTTCCCATTGCTCTGGGCTCCTCTGGCCATCCAAAGATGATTCCCCATTCTCATGGTTTCTGTGCTCATCCCTGCCACTTGGCAGCTGTGGCTTTTCATGAAATTTATGCAGCAAATGGTTTTTTAGTTGTGGTCAAATACACAAAACATAAAATTGACCATATTAACCATTTTTTTTTTTTTTGAGACGGAGTCTCGCTCTTGTTGCCCAGGCTAAAGTGTAATGGTGCAGTCTTGGCTCACTGCAACCTCCGCCTCCCGGGTTCAAGCAACTCTCCTGCCTCAGCCTCCTGGGTAGCTCGGATTACAGGGATGTACCACCACACTCGGAATTTTTTTTTTAATTTTTAGTAGAGATGGAGTTTCATTATGTTGGCCAGGCTGGTTTCGAACTCCTGACCTCAAGTGATCTGCCCACCTCGGCCTCGCGAAGTGCTAGGATTACAGGTGTGAGCCACCGCGCCTGACCTCAAGATATATTTTCAATGGGATGTCAAACCTCTAGATTTCCCCAGATGATGAAGACCTTAGTGGGTTTAGGCACTCAGAAACTTCAGAGAAAATTCCTTCAGTTTCTTTTTGTGTGCTAGGGAGAACTTTCACACTTCCTGTGGGGCATGAGGTAACCAGGAGCTGTCTGGTGCTCCTTGGTTGCCACTGGGCACGGAGCCCTGGCATTCAGAGAAGACGGCATGAGGACTAGAGGAGTCAGGAGGGAAGGCAAGGTTCTCTTGGGTGGGGTTACCTGCAGGTGAGGGCTTTGAGCCCGGGAAAGCTCCTCTTGTGCCTCTGATTGCCTCTTACACCACCCAACTAGCCCACCTAAGGGAGGGGCAGTGAAAATAGGGAAAAGATAACCCTGTCCCTGTTACAGGAATATTGGGGAGGCACAAACTGAGTTTTGTGGGGCCAGGGTCATGTCTCAGCCTAAAGCTGGGGCCAATCCACATATCAGGATTTATCCACTGTAGAATTAGCCCTTGACATTGCAGACCTGCCTCAAGCAAAGAAGATGAATGCCAGAGGACAGAGAGGGCCTTTTTCCCCCTGCATGTCTCAGTGGATAGAAAGGGCAGAGAAGAAAACCCTGGCCTGCTGACAGATCAGCGAGATGGCAGGCAAGGAGGCTGGTCCTGCCCGGGGTTCAGTACTTTATTTGCTGTCAAGCTTCTTCAGGTGCATTAGTGACTCCTTGATGTTAAATACCTGCTAATTAACAACAGCTGCAATTTGCCTCGCCTGGGATTGTCGGGGGAGGGGGGGCGGGGGGAGTTGACACCTGGGCTGGGAGCTCTCTGTCCCGGGAGACAGGAGGGCATTAGAGAAAGCCACAGGCTGGTGGGGAACTGTGCAAAGAAATAGTGCCCTGGTGGCTGAGGTGTCCTGTACCATCAGGACTAGCATGGTGATGGTTCAAATTCCAGCGCTGACGTTTGCAAGCGGTGTGCACTTGGGGAAGTCCCTTCTCTCTGAAACTGGTTATCATCTCCGACATGGGCCTAGTACCGCATAGAGTTACTACAGCCTTAGATGAGATGATGCCTGCAGAGCTCAGCACAGAGCAGGCTTATTGAAACCCTCAACAGCTGGCTGAGCGGTGTGTTTGAGGAAGTTGTAATAAAGTAGAAAATCTGGTGTTTCTCCTTCATGTCTATCCTGCCTCAGTTTCTCTTGGTGACCTCCTTTGAATGTACTGATGGCTGCCTCGGTGGCCAATCTTATCTTGGGGCCTTACCCCACTCTGTATCTTGGTTCCACCAGTTTGAAGAATACTTGGCTGGGAAAAATAGTTTTCTGATCATTAGACTAAAGGTCCAGGGCACTAGGGAAGTCTGCTGTGTGGCTCTTTTGGGGGTTGGGGGCTGAGGGTGGAGAGGGTGCTGGCAGAGGAGAGGAAAGGAGACATCTGAGTCTGGGGGAGCTTCTTGGAAAATGTGAGCTCTGAGCCTCCGTTAGAATTCCCAAGGTCTATCCACAAGGATACCCCCATGTCAACTTTTTTTTTCTTTTTAATTTTACTTTAAGTTCTGGGATACACGTGCAGAATGTGCAGGTTTGTTACGTAGGTATACATGTGCCATAGTGGTTTGCTGCACCTGTCAACCCATCATCTAGGTTTTAAGCCCCGCATGCATTAGGTGTTTGTCCTAATGCTCTCCCTCCCCTTGCCCCCCACCCACTGGCAGGCCCTGGTGTGTGTTGTTCCCCTCCCTGTGTCCATGTGTTCTCATTGTTCAACTCTCACTTATGAGTGAGAACATGCAGTGTTTGGTTTTCTGTTCCTGTGTTAGTTTGCTGAGAATGATGGCTTCCAGCTTCATCCATGTCCCTGCAAAGGACATAAACCAATTATTTTTTATGGCTGCATAGTATTCCATGGTGTATATGTGCCACATTTTCTTCATCCAGTCTATCATTGATGGGCATTTGATTTGGTTCCAAGTCTTTGCTATTGTAAATAGTGCTGCAATAAACATACATGTGCATGTGTCTTTATAGTAGAATCATTTATAATCCCTTGTGTATATACCCAGTAATGGGATTGCTGAGTCAAATGGTATTTCTGGCTCTAAATCCTTGAGGAATCGCCATACTGTCTTCCACAATAATTGAACTAACTATTAATGAAAGGTCTGAATGAAGGTGGTAGCAAGAAAAACCTTGGTGCACAGGGTTTCACCATTTCTCTGACACCCTTCTCTCCACTCCAGGCTCTGATTTGATCCTCATAATAGGCCTGTGAGGTGAGTGTGAAGGAAAGTGGAGGAATTTGTTGTTCAAATAAGTGGAAGTAGCTTCTGTCCCTACGGATGTCTTATGGTTCAACCCTGCATCTGTCTATCAGCCACACAGCATCTTTCCAATAGATTCCTTTTTGGCTTAAGTTAGAGTAGCTTCTATGGCTTGACACACACACACACACACACACACACACACACACACACACGCACGTTAACTGACAACCAGTAATGGAAAATCATGTGACTATAGTAAAAGAATCTTACTCCACTTGTAGCCACAGGGTTGAGATTGCAAAAACCAAACTCAGGGATGGATGTTGCTGTTGCTGCATTATCGTGTCTCACCAGCCTTCACGTGAAGGAAAGGATTTCAGATGGTATCCACTAACAGGAGGAGCAAATCTTGGAGCATCTGGAGACATCATCACACCCACATTGACTGCCCTGTCTTGACCTGTTCATTGGTGTTTACTACCAGCTTTGAATAGACCCCAGAGCATGAAGAAGTTCTTGCTTTAGTTTTCTGTAGTTGCTGTATTGGATTACCGTAAACTCATTGGCTTAAAGCAACACATATTTGTTATCACACAGTTCTGTAGGTCAGAAGTCTAATCTAAGCCTCAAGGGGCTAAAATAAAGGTCTTGGCAGAGCCCTGTTCCTTTCTGAAGGCTCTAGGTGAGAATCTGTTTTCTCGCCCTTTTTCCAGTCCTGGAAACTTCTCATATTCCTTGGCTTGTAGCTCCCTTCCATCTTCAAAGCCAGCAATAACCAGTTCAATCTTGATCACATGACATCACATCACATCCCATCACCCTGTCTCTTCTCTTTTGCCTTCCTTTTCCCTATGTAAGGACCCTTGTGATTATATTGGGCTCAATTGGATGATCTTCCTATTTTAAGGTCGGCTGATTAGCAACCTTAATTCCATCTGCTTCCTTAATTCCCCTTTGGCATGTAACTAACTTATTCACAGGTTCTGGGGATTAGAATGTGGCCATCTTAGGGATGGGGTCGGGACAGAGAGGCATTAATCTCCCTAACAGTTTTCCAGCTCTTCCAGGCTGCAGTTAAATTATTAAATACTTTGTCATTTGGCCTTTTGGGATACTCTATGGTGCCTTGGATGAGCCCTGATTGGAAAAATCACAGTGGAGCTCCTTAAATGTTGGAGCATTAGCAAGTAATTAAACTTCTTTTGTGAAATGCATGCTGAATGTCTAGTCAGGGAAGATAGACAACCATGCAATCTGAGCTGTTCAGGGGTTATTGATTGATTTAGCCATGAAGTTAGGTTTTCCCAACAACACTCCATCAAAGAAAAGTGCTGTATATGGAAACAAAACTTCTCAAATACGTCTTGGATAAGGTATCCATGAAGGCCTGCATAGAGCCTGTGAATGGGTTCAACAATGTGGGTCAAGTTTGTTCTGGAAATCGTTGCTATTGATTCTGATTTGCCAGCAGTAGCAGCTAACTTGATGCTTCTGGTTCTAAAGAACTCTGAAAGGTCTGGGATCTTACTTTGCAAGCTAATTATTTAGTTTGTTACAGTTTCATGAATGCTGGCAGAAGACACGAGACTCCTGGATCAGAGAAAAAAGACTATTACTCACAGCAGGCACAGCACACAGCATGAGCTTCATGTTTGCATCAGCTGTCCTTATCCCCAAGTTCCGTGAGGTGATGCAAAATGGCCCAGGTGGATGCTGCATAGGCAGTAGGTTTGTGTCTCAGCGAAGGAACCCAAGCTTAGGAAGCTCCAACGTTTTATAGTGAGCTGCAGGCAAACCTTCTTCATCCTTTGCCTCAGAGGGAAACATTCTTTTTATTAGTCTGGACAGCAATCAAATCTTCCCTCTTCCCTGGAGGGAGATGGTATATCTTCTAAGGCTGTTTGCTACACAAGCATCCTTGAAAAGATAGTGTGGTACAAAAGCTGTCAATGTCTCTGCTCAGAAGGCCTGCAGAATTGTGGGAGACCCACGGAAAATGTCTGGTATGGTAATAATAATGGTATATAATGCCTTCAAAGTCCACCAGTGCCTGGCCCTATTCATTCAACTCATTTAATCCTTAGTTGATTCTATTATCCCATTTAAAAGATGAAAGAAAATGGAAGGCACAGATAAGTGGATCTACAGAAGGCAGATCTGGGAGTAGAGTAGAGCCCAGACTTTGGGCTCTATACCATATTCTGAGGGGACCAGCCAGCCATGTGGTGGCAGCCTGATTACCTAGTGGGCAGTTTTCATTATGGAAGTGGCTACAATGGGAACTCCCCGGAATACACACCAATTTGCAATTTGGGCTTGTTTTTCTCTGCCTGCATGCCTTGGCCATAACCACCACTTATGAATTTAGCGAATGGCTTTTTTTTTTTTTTTCGCTCTTGTTGCCTAGGATGGAGTGCAGTGGCACGATCTCAGCTCATCACAACCTCTGCCTCCCGGATTGAAGCGATTCTCCTGCCTCAGCCTCCTGAGTAGCTGGGATTACAGGCATGCACCACCACACCCAGCTAGTTTTGTATTTTTAGTAGAGATGGGGTTTCTCCACGTTGGTTGGGCTGGTCTCAAACTCCTGACCTCAGGTGATCTGCCCGCCTCAGTCTCTCAAAGTGCTGGGATTATAGGTGTGAGCCACCGCACCTGGCTTGTGAATGGCTTTTGTAGCACATAGCATCGTGTAAAGATCACCTTCCATTTAAGGAGTTATATTACAACAAAAGACGGGGGTCCATGGACTGAGGCCTATGAATCTCACTGGTACCCCATTTTCAACAAGAAGCTGCCTCTAAAAAGATTTGAATGGTCTATTGAAAAATCAGCTAGAATAACAGTCGCAGCTGGAGACGATAGCTCATAACTTTGGGATGCTGTCTTGCAGGGTGTGAAATATATTCTGAACCCACACCCAATATACAGTGGAGAAGGGGTGTCCCCAAGGGTCCTCTTTCATCATATGCCTTCACTTCCATCATGTATTGATAGGTTTTCGTTCCTGAGGGAGAAATGCTTCCACCAAGAATCACAATCAAATTCCATCACATTGGAACCCAAGATCGTCCCTTGGTTATCATTAGAGGGGAATTTGGCGTCTCCTATGTTGATTGTTCTGTGGAAGGAGGGATTTAGGGATTTTGCTCCGCAAATGAAGCTTGAATGGAAACCCCCCTCTTTCTGCCACTATACCCAGGGATAAAAGTTAACGGGTGCTGCAGGCAGATCAGCAAAGGAGAAGACATTGAAGGATGCAATATTTGTATTGATTTACCCGGTGAGGATCCCTGGTCAACTAAAGCACATAAGCGAGGGGAATTAGGAAGGATTAGCATAGGCGAGAAAGTCATAAATATGAGCTTTGTCATGTGACTTAAGGCAGAAATGAAGGCTATGGCCTTTACTTTATTTTTTATTTGTTTTCTGCTAAAATGTTAAGATGTATCTTTTCTTATTAATATCTGTAAGGTATATAAATGGTTGTTAAACTTCCTATTGTGTTCAGAGGTGGCAGAGTATCAAAACAGAAGGATTATGATAAAACCTGAAGAAGAAGGGACATTTTCCAGAGATCCTAGACTTTATTTTATTTTTTATTTTTTTTGAGACAGAGTCTTGCTCTGTCACCCAGGCTGGAGTGCTGTGGCACCATCTCAGTTCACTGCAACATCTGCCTCTTGGGTTCAAGTGATTCTCCTGCCTCAGCCTCCCGAATAGCTTGGACTACACATGCCTGCCACTATGCCTGGCTACTTTTTGTATTTTTAGTAGAGACAGGGTTTCGCCACGTTGGCCAGGCTGGTCTTGAACTCCTGACTTCAAGTGATCTGCCCAGCTCTGCCTGCCAAAGTGCTGGGATTATAGCTGTGAGCCTCTGCGCCCGGCCAGATCCTACGCTTTAAAGCTGGACACAGCATTGGGTTTTCATCTTTTAAAGGAGGGAGGGAGGTATTGTGTTTTTGGCCAACCACGAAGTGGTTATTTAAATGCAGCTCCTCCAAGATCTTTTTTTTTTTTTTTAAATTTTGAGACAGAGTTTTACTCTTCTTGCCCAGGCTGGAGTGCAATGGTGTGATCTCAGTTCACTGCAACCTCCGCCTCCTGGGTTCAAGCGATTCTCCTGCCTCAGCTTCCTGAGTAACTGGGACTACAGGCATGTACCACCACACCCGGCTAATTTTTTGTATTTTTAGTAGATACCAGGTTTCACCATGTTGGCCAGGCTGGTCTCGAACTCCTGACCTCAGGTGAACCACCTGCCTCGGCCTCCCAAAGTGCTGGGATTACAGGAGTGAGCCACTGCGCCCGGCTCCAAGTTCTTAATGTTAGTAAAAATTGCTGTGTGTGTGTAAAAATTGCTGTGTGTGTGTGTGTGTGCACATGTGCGCACATGCATGTAAAGTGGTAAGCCAAAGACAAATGTAGTGAATGTCTGGTTATGGCCCACCCAATATCCTCCTCCCTTCTTCTGCCAACAGCATTTGGGGGAAATTGCCGATCCCCAACTCTACATTGTCCTGAGGGAGCTGCCAGTCACAGCCCAGGACAGTAACTAACCCTCTTCACCTTCAGGCTCAGTGATCTGAAGACTAAGTCACCATTGTCCAGGGCCTGGAGTGGCTGAGAGGTGTGGCTGTGTCCCAGAGGACTGGCTCTCCACTAAGATTAGACTGAATGACCCACTCTGAGGCCAGGGATGCAGTGGGAACCCGGTGTCTCATTCAGAGGCAGCCAGCTTGGACAAAGCATAATTTATAATGTTCTGCATAAATATTTTATGCAGTTTCTGGTTACCTTCTAGAAATTAAGAAATCAAACCCTTTCTGAATGAAATAGAAGTCAGCTTTATTCTAAAGATTCATTTTAAATATTGGAAAATTCCCCAAGAAATGCACTTTTGGCCACTAAGGAAAACAGTATAATGGTTCATTAAAAAAATTAAAAATAGAATTACCATGTGATCCACCAATTCCACTTCTGGGTATATGTCCAAGAGCACTGATAGTGGGGTCTTGAGGAGATATTTGCAAACCCATGTTCATTGTGACATTATTTACAACAGCCAGAAGGTGGAAACAACCCAAGTGTCCACTGACAGATGAAAGGCTAAACCAAATAAGATATATGCATAAACTGGAATATTATTCAGACATAAAGAGGAAAGAAATTTTGGCTGGGCGTGGTGGCTCACGCTTGTAATCCCAGCACTCTGGGAGGCTGAGGCGGGTGGATCACCTGAGGTCAGGAGTTCGAGACCAGCCTGGCTAACATGGTAAAACCCCATTTCTACTAAAAATACAAAAAATTAGACAGGAGTGGTGGCGGGTGCCTGTAATCCCAGCTACTCGGGAGGCTGAGGCAGGAGAGTCACTTGAACCTGGGAGATGGAAGTTGCAGTGAGCCGAGATCAAGCCACTGCACTCCAACTTGGGCAACAAGAGTGAAACTCCCTCTCAAAAAAAAAAAAGGAAAGAAATTTTGACACCTGCTACACAACATGGATGAAACTGTTACCATGCTAAGTGAAATAAGCTATTCACAAAAGGACACATACTGTATGATTCCACTTATATGCGGTCCCTAAAGTAAATTCAGAGACAAAAAGTGGAAAGGTGGTTGTCAAAGGGGAGAGAGGATGGGGAGTGAGTGTTTAATGGGTACAGAGTTTCAATTTTGCAAGATGAAAAGTGTTCTGGAGACGGATGGTGGTGAGGGTGGCACAGCAGCGTGAATGTACTTAATACCAGAGAACTGTATATTTAAAAATTGTCACAATGGTAAATTTTATGTTACGTATATTTCACCACTTTAAATAAATAAAAGAAATGGGCCAGGCGTGGTGGCTCACGCCTGTAATCCCAGCACTTTGGGAGGCCAAGGCGGGCAGATCACTTGAGGTCAGAAGTTTGAGACCAGCCCGGCCAACATGGTGAAACCCCGTCTCTACTAAAAATAGAAAAAATTATTCAGGTGTGGTGGCACATGTTTGTAATCCCAGCTACTCGGGAGGCTGAGGCAGATGAACCACTTGAACCCAGGAGGCGGAGGTTGCAGTGACCTGAGGTTGTGCCATTGCACTCCAGCCTGGGCGACAAGAGCGAAACTCCAGCTCAAAAAAACAAAACAAAGCAAAAGGAAAAAAGAAATGCAGTTTTGTAATTTTCAAAGATCTATGGTACTATGGTCAGAAAGTTTGTAAAGGGCAGAGGGACTTAAACTAAGGGACAGATTTTCTAGGAAATTGGGATTGGCATGAAGGTTTAAAGTTGATGATGCTGAGTTGGTTTTAAACACCTTATGAAATCTGTGTATCGGGCTTAAGCTCTGATCCTGCTCAGTGAGGCTGATGTTTGCAGAGAACACTGGGCCGTCTCCTGCTCTGTTTCTGTTCCGAATCACACACGCTGAACCTTTTGCCTGCCCACAACAATGCTGGGATCCTTGGACCCACAGGGCTTTCTGCTTTGGGCGAGGCCTTTGGGGAGTGGGCAACACCATTCTATGTAACAGGGCTGCGTGTTCTAAGCTCCTCCCCTCTAGGGCAGGGTGAGGGTGGACTGTAGGCAATTGGGCCTTTGACCTGGCTGTGCCTGTGTGGGCACTGTGGGAAGTGCCTGGGGAGCCACTTTGAGCAGCAGCAACCTGTTTTTCTCCCTTTACAGCATTTCTGGCTTTGTCTCCCACTTCCAGTGTGGGCTATTATGGAAGCTGGACTTGAAGGACCAACTTGGCTATCAGCTTGCGGGGTGACCATACCAAGTCCTTTATCCCAGTGGGCCTTGCCTTCTTGTTTATACAATGGGTGAGAGCAGTGAATCTAATCTCGTATAAACCAGAGCAGGGGCAGTGCAGATGGTGGGGAGAGGATGAAGAGCGGGAACCAGTGGAAGTAGAATTAAATACCATGGATGTGACTCTCATTTCACAAATGCAGGAACAAAACGAATATTACAATTCTTAATTTTATTCTACATCGACCTAAGTCTGAGTCCGTATCTCACCAGGAGGGTGGGAGAGTCAGCTTCATTCATCGACAGGCTCCTCATCCTCCCCATTTCTTGGGCTCCGTGAAGATTTCAGGAGTTTAAGGGGTACCCGGAAAGTAGTCTAGGTGTTTAATTTCTATGCCATTACGGGCATTGTTACAGAATCCTCATTTCCCAGTGTGGTCCCTGGAAGTCCAGCAGCTTTCTGATTCCCTTGGGGGCTGAGAATTTTTTGCCACGGCTGGGAAATTTTAGCATCCAACTTTGCAAGGACAGCATGCAGGAGGAGGAGCAGGGGAGGAGGAGTCCTCCCCAGGACACGCCTAGCACATGGGACACAGCTCCCAGCTACTCTAGAATCGCCAAGGTCTTTCCTATTTCCAGTCTGGTAGAAACCAGCCCCAAACCTCTTGTCACTTCCCGAAGCCATTCTTTCCTTCCCTCTCAGAAATATCAAGCATAACCTCATCAAACAGTTGAGGATTTCACAAAAGTCTGGAAAACCTTTGAGTTCAGGCAGTTTCTGTATTCTGCCAGGCCAAAAAAAAAAAAAAAAAAAAATTGTCTCTAAGACAGGGAATTGCAGAAGAAAAAAAAAAAAAGAAAGAAAAGAAAAGGATTATGGGCCTGAAACTGGGATAGAGAGAAATACAGAGAGAATGACACGAATTCATATCTCAGGTAAGTTTTTTCCAGTCTGCGTGAGCTCTTCGCAGATCATGATGAGCCTAACAAAAAGAGAGAAAGAGTAGTGTAGAAAATATCAGAGCATCTCCCACATGGCAAGTGTGTGGGTTGTTTCATACATTTAGAGGAGTGTTCTGAGCTGGTCATAGCTGAAGAAGTTTATCCTGCCGGAGATGAAAGGGGTGGGGCAGGCATCTGTATGAAAAACAAAACTCCAGGTGAATCTAATGTGCCGCTAAGGCTGCAAACCCCTGGTTTAGACACTGATCAGACGAGAGTGTGTGGGGAACCGAAATGTTGGTATTTTTAGCCTGCCTAGAGCCATTCAGCAAAAAACAGAGACTATAATGGAGGTGGAGGCAGGTGGTGAGGGCAGATAATGAGTTCGAAGGGGGATATGTGTTTATCAGAGCACAGTGGAAATACGTGGAAAGCATTGCTGTCCCTCTAAAGATCTGCAAAGCGCAGCTGTGCTGGATGCTGGGTGGGGAAGGAGCCATCAGGGGAAGCTTTGACCTCTAAAGGGACAGGAAGAGCAGTCAAGAGAAGCCCCGGGACAGGTCTCTCTCGTGTTTCAGACGCAGGCGAAACAGCTGAATTCAGGGCTTGAATTTCTCTCCTTGGCTTTGTCAACCTAAATTTCGGACATCTGAAACAGCACTGCCAGCCGTCATCTGCTCCCACCGTTCACCTGGAAGCTTATCTTTGCTCCTGCATTGATTTCTCTCTGTCAGCTCATCATGAAGACAGATGCTTTGGGGCACTCAACATTGGGTGTTCTTTGCGGAAGATGTTCTGCCTTGCGAGGCCGGACGGCTCCCTGAAGGGGCTGTATCTGGTTCAGATAAGATAAGAAGCTTCTTGATTCAGCGGAGGAACAGCTGAAATCAACAGCATGTCTTGACTGTGATTAGTGAGAAGGAGTTGGGGATGGGGGTGGAAGTGATTCACTTGGAAAAGGAACGATTATTTCTGAAGATGAGTTTGAACTTGCTGATGTGTCCACAGCTGGTGGCGTTGAGATACCAGGGATAGATGGACTCTTTGCTCTTTGCAGAAGCTGAGTTCTTAGGGAGTAGGAAAAGTTCACTTTCTGAAAATAGACCAGCTGTGCTAACAGTGATTGCTTTATCCATTAGGGTTCTTTCCATTTCCAGTGACAGAAAATCCAGACCAAACATATTCAACAAAGAAGCACAAATGTATCGTCATATAATCGCAGTGTCAGAGTTAGGCATGGCCATGGGCTGAGCGTGTTGTGGGTGGGTTACGGCTCAGGGCCTCCCCGGCAGTCTTTCGTGACTGAGCTCAAGAAGGCTGCATGGAGGCTGTGGCTGTGAGAAGCACAGACTGAGGATCCCAGTTTCAAATTCTGCCTTTGCCACTCATGAGCTGGCTAACACGGGGGCAGGTCCTTTAGTTGCATTGACCCTCGGTTGTGTTATCTATAAAATAGGGACAGTGCTGTTGGCAGGATAAATGAGAGATGGCATGGAAAGCCGTCTGCACACAGCTGGAGCTCATGAAATGTTAGTAATTGTAGAGGATAATGGTTGTTTTCCTCTTCAGCACCCACACACCTCCTTCTGCCTGGTCTCCTGGCAACAGTTTCAATTCTGTTTATGGGTTGCCCCTCCCTCGGTCTCAGTCACATACCAGGATGGAGCATACAACCCAGCCTAATGCTAGTTAGTACGCCGCATTATCTGGGCCTTCGTGATTGGCTCATGGATGTCTCCTGACCGAAGCTTGTCCCATCAGAGAGAACATCATGATTTTGCTGTGACTGTCAGGACAAAGATGTGGAAGCATTTCCTCCTGCCCACTGGATTTGAGCCTAGAAGTATAAGTCCCCAGGAGCTTCTAATGGTCATTTTTCAGCCACAAGGGAAGTGCTCAAGTGAGAAAGAAATCCACACAGAGAGAAAAATGAAGACATGAAGAGAGAGACAGAGAAGTTGCTGGTGACGTAATTCAAACCCTTGATCAGCCCGTGCCTGATGCTTGCTTCAGACTCTTTGGTTATATGGCAATCAATTTTCTTTTTTGTCTTAATGAGTTTATTCTGGATTGTCTGTCACTTGCAACTGAAAACAATAAACTTGATTTGAGATATATTTACTGGAAGCATAAAAGAGATTCTTCAAAAAGCCCAAGGCTCTTTTCCTCATTCCTGTTTGGCAGCTAAGAAATTAGGTCCCAATTGTTGCATGTGACTAATTCCTCCCTTCTGTGCATGAGGCTTCTTGTACCTTGTGTGGGTTTGCTGAAAGTAAAAGAAACTGTTCCAACCACCTGTCACTTCAAAAGAGATTAACTACCTTTGCCTAAAAGAACCTCTGCTACCACGGGAAAATTATACTTATGAGCCATACGGAGGGTCCCAGCTGCTCGGCTGCCATCCCAGGTCACCCTTTCATCACATCCCTGGAATGAACAAGGTTCTCTTTGTGGCCATTGCTGCCCAGGCATCCTGGATCCCTCCAAAGCGCAGGCAGGAAAGAGGCTCAGAGGCTGCGAGGTACTGGCCTTGGTCCTTAGTGTTGCGTCTGACTCGGTCTCATTGTGGCTTGGTTTGATGGTTTCTGAGTACAGGAGGCTGACATTCAAGATGATCCCTTGCTACTCGGCCATTGTTCAGTCTAAAGAAGATACCCCTTTGCTCCTCCAAAATGGAGAGGGAGGCTGTGCCCCCAGCCACCTGCTGGACTGCAAACATACAAGAAAGATTGGGCTTGATTGCCACCCAAGTTGCACGTCTGACTGGCGTCACAAATGGAATGGAAATGAGGACACTACTCGGGAGTGGACATAAGCAAGGACAGTCCATGGGCGTTTGGGGTAACAGCAGTCTCTTCCCTCTTGTCTCTGAGAAACTGCCCTTTATGTTGTTAGGGCTGAGAAGCAGAGCTGTTGTTCTGTCTGCAGAAACCCACTGCTTAAGGCCAAAGGAAGGATGGAAGTGCTCTGCTGGCCATTCTGAAGGCTAGGGCCAGGTGTGTGTGTGAGCAGGTATGTGGGATGTTCACAGTGTGCACTGGGAAAGGCTTTTGGGATTGCTACTCTATCTTATTAGAAATCACTATGTGGGCCAGGCGAGGTGGCTCACACC